>NC_000017.11:3824444-3975959 GCF_000001405.40 Homo sapiens
CATACATACACACATACACGCGATACATACATACATATACATATATACACATACATACACATACATATATACACATACACACACATTTTTAAATGCCCACCAAAAGTCACCATGTGTAAACAATCTTATGAGAAGGGAATTAGAACCGAATGGTACACTGGCAATGTTCAGGAGGACGTTGCTGTAATAAATAAAGTTTCATTTGAAAGTTTTCATAATTCAGATGGTAACTGGCTGAAAATATATGAGGCAAACCAGTTTCAACAGAAAATAACTTTAGCCAGAAGTCACAGAAATATACAAATAGTTAATATTCACTTTTAAAGTCAGAAATTCCAACTCAGGTGGCAAGCAATTATTTCATAAGCGCAGAATATTATAGTTTGAAGGGAACTTTGAGATTACTTGATCTAACTTCTATTCAAAAAAGAAGGATGTCACTCCATAATAAATCATTTTGATTGAAAATATAAAACAATACCAAATATTACATTTACCTTTTGTAGCAAATCTCATGAATAACCTATTTCCTTTAGCAAGTTTGTTAGCTGGACGAAGATCGTTTCTTAACAAAGACTCCTCTTCTACCTGAGACAACGTATCCAACTTAAGAAAGAAGAGTATTTTTAATATAAAAATTAAAGTCCTTTTGATATTTCTTCAGTAGTAAAGCTACCATTAAGAAAAGCATTCTACCTTTAATACTTACAAGCATTATAGCACTAGTTCCGCTGTAGAATTTCTAACTCAGAGATTTCCCCTGCCCACCTTGTCTAAAAGAACAGTCTCCATCATTCTCTATCCCCTACTCTTTTCACAACACTCATTGCCACCTGACACAGTATGAGATATCTGTGCATCAGTGTATCCTCTGCACTCCCCACTAGAATGCAGGCTCCGAGAGGGCCAGGACTTTGTTTTGCTTGAAGCTATATCCCTAGCACTTAGAATATGGTATATAATAGGTACTCAGTAAATATTTTTTAAATGAATGCATGTTAATATTTTTAACAACAGTACATAATCCATTAGGAAGTATGCCATTACTTGCTGTTTCTTCATTTTACTAATTAGATAACACTTCAAAGTATTTCTCAATAAAACTATTTTCTTTTTTTGTAGAAGCATAAGCACTATTCTAAGATTTCAAGGTGAATCGCTATATCCACACTAACTTAAAGGACAAGAGCCTGGTGCACCCTCAGAAGGTCTAATGGTGAAAGCTAGAGAAAAAACGTAACTAAGTCTTTAAGGCTTAAGTTAAAAAGACAGTGAGCAATTTTTTACAATAACTTTACATCTATCTTTCCCCTATTACTAACCTCTACATCACTTGAGTTCTCATCTTCAACCTCTCCTTCTTCAGCTTCATCATCATCTGAACTGTCTTCCTGCTTGTCTAAAATGGAATGTGAAGGACAAGATGAAACAAGATAAAATATTTCATATAATGAGATACAAGATGAACTATCTCATATAATTTTAAAAGTCCAGTATTTTCTCCTATTTCCTGATGATCTCAAGCATCATAGATTAGTTCAGAAACACTTGGTGATGAGATGCTATATAGAGCTCTGCTCAGAAACAGGACTGTGTAAAGAAGAGGACTTTCAGACCCCAGTTCCCTCCTTTGTGTTGTTACCTTTTTTCCTTTTCTCAGCTGACTTGTCCTCACTGGCATCCCTGCTTCTGATCTTATCCTGTGCAGGCAGGGAGCTCATATTGATAAGTGCTCGTGTGGCTGTCATTTCATCCAGCCAAACTACATTACCTAAAATAAAATGTAAAATAAGACATTACACAGCATGGAAATGGTAAGCTTCTTGAGAGCAGATTCTGCATCGCATTCATCACTACAGCCTCATCTAGCAACAGATTATCATCAGTAAATATACAAACCAACTAATGAAGAGAAATATAGACCAGGCATGGTGACTCACACCTATAACCCCAGTACTTTGGGAGGCCAAGGCAGGAGACTCGCTTGGAGTGAGATCATCCTGGGCAACATAGTGACACCCTGTCTCTACAAAAAAATACAAAAGTCATGGTGGCATGAGCCGGTAGTCCCAGCTACTTGGGAGGCCGAGGTGGGAGAATGGATTGAGCCTAGGATATTGAGGCTGCAGTATGCCAAGGTCACACCACTGCACTCCAGCCTGGGTAACAGGGTGAGACTTTGTCTCAAAAGAAATGAAAAGTTAAAAATAAATAAAAAAGAAAGAAAGAAAGAGAAAGAGAGACAGAAAGAGAAGGAAGGAAGGAAGGAAGGAAGGAAGGAGAGAGAGAGATGAAAGAAAGAAAAAGAGAGAGAGAGAAAGCACTTTGGGAGGCCGAGCCAGGCGGATCACGAGGTCAGGAGATCGAGACCATCCTGGCTAACACGGTGAAACCCCGTCTCTACTAAAAATACAAAAAATTAGCCGGGCGTGGTGGCGGGCGCCTGTGGTCCCAGCTACTCGGGAGGCTGAGGCAGAATGGCGTGAACCCGGGAGGCAGAGCTTGCAGTGAGCCGAGATGATGCCACACTGCACTCCAGCCTGGGCGACAGAGCGAGACTCTGTCAAGAAAAAACAAAAGGAATGGAACAGAATGGAACGGAACGGAAAGGAAAAGGGAAGGGGGAAGGGTAGGGGGAAAGGGGAAGGGGGAAGGGAAAAGATGGAAGGGAAGGGGAGGGAAAAGAAAGAAAAGGGTAGTAAAATCTCTCTGATGAAATTAGCCTAGAGCTGCGTTTCCAAACTGGGTTCCACAAAATAACTTAAGTATTCCATGAAAAAGAGTTGTGTATATTTAAACTACTTGGAACAGAACACAGGTAGTTAAACACTCAATATGTAAGTATTAGCAGTTCTTGATAACTGTCAAGTAAGTTTGGATTGTCCTTTACACTACCGCCCCCTACAGGGAAGCCCTTTGCTGCTCCTTGTCAGGACATGCTAAACGAATTCCCCCTTCATCATTCCCATTGGAAAACGTGGATGATGAAGGTATCCCTGGGATATGTAGAATGGAGGCATGACAGCCAGTTGGCTTTGTAGCAACTAATTTAATGTGCCTCTTTAAGGAAGATAATTTAGCAAGAAAAGAGCTTTGAGAAATCTTACGGAAAATAAACTTAAAAGAGTATTTCTCAAAACTATGCGTCCCCTATATCTCAGTTTGGGAAATGAAGCTCTGAGGCTCTCACTTCTGTTACTAATGTGCCATGTGGCCTGAGGCAAATATGTTCCTTCCTCTGTTTCTCAGGTTCTGATAAATAATACAAGGTAGGTGAACTATGTAATTCTGAGAGTCCCTCCAATTCTAATATACCTTAGTCACAGTTTTAATGACTTAAATCAGGGTTAGTAAACTATAACCCTCAAGCAAAATCTAGCCCACCACCTGTTGTTTATTTACATTTGTACCAGCTTTATTTAGGTTTAATTAATGTACAATAAACTACACACATCTACCACCTGCTTTTGTTTTTGTTTTTTCTTTCTTTTTGAGATGGAGTCTCACTCTGTTGCCCAGGCTGGAGTGTAGTGGCACTATCTTGGCTCACTGCTGCCTCTGCCTCCCAGATTCAAGCAATTCTCCTGCCTCAGCCTCCTGAATAGCTGGGATTACAGGTGTGCATCGCCACATGAGGCTAATTTTTGTATTTTTAGTAGAGACGGGGTTTTGCCACGTTGGCCAGGCTGGTCTTGAACTCCTGATCTCAAGTGATCCTCCCGCCCTGGCCTCCCAAAGTGCTGGGATTACAGGCCTGAGCCACCGTGCCTGGCCTACCGCCTGTTTTTGTAAATAAAGTTCTACTGGAAAACAGCCAGACTCATAGCTTCTGTATTATTTATAGTTGCTTTCATGCTACCACAGCAGAGCTGAGCAGATGTGACAGAGACCGTTAAGCCTACAAAGCCTCAAGTATCTGCATTCCAGCCCTTTACAGAAAAAGGTCTGCCAATTCCCGATTTGGATAGTGTAAGTTAAACAGAAAGAAAACAGGAGAAAAATGTTTCACTCAGTCATGTTTGTCTTTCAATGAAAACATCTTCCTACGAGAGCAGCTAAGAAAACCGGCTGCCATCTAGGGTGCTACCCAGCAGGTCAGCCAGCTGGCAGCAAGTAAAGCCAGACTAGAAGTAAGTCAAGACAAGAAGCCAGCAAAGCAGTAACAAGAGGTCAGGCCAGACTTACAGTAAGCAGGCAAGTTAAAAATTACAGTTGGCCCACAAGTTGGAAAGCTCATGGGTCAGGGCAAGCAGGTGACATTCTAGAACACACAGTTCAAGGCAAGCAGAAATGAGAAGTCTAGTAGAGTGTTTAGCTCTAGGTCATTCTGTCTATTCAGAATGACACTCTGTCCAGTGTCTATTCTGGTCTATCTCTAGGTCAGAGACACAGGCAGAGTCAGCCCTCTGAGTAACAGTACAGAAGGCAGTAATGACAAAGTCCAAGGCTCTGAAAATGCAGCCCCAAGTCTACGCAGTTGGATCCTCTCCTTTGTTGGGAAAAGGTGAGTGTTAAAGAGGCCTCAATCAACTACGGCAGATTCAGAGGCCAGTAACCCACCTCCTAGAGCCCTGGCCACCACCTCTCAGCTGACGTGGGACACTATGGGGTATGAGCTGGCAGACTGGCAAGGGCATGCTGCGTTTCACTGCTCGACAATTTTTTCTCTCCTGGACTAACAGCAGAAGTTCGGCATAAACAAGTAGTATGGGCCAGAACCATTCACCATCTCTGATGGCAAGAACTCTTGAAAAATCATCAACAAAAGCATATTCACAGGAAACTCGGGTGTACTTACAGGAGGTATCATCCAACCATTCGATGTGAGCTGGAGGATATTCTTTAAAATAGGAAAAGACATCTTGGGTGCTCATCTCATCTACTCCGCAAATATAGATTGTCTCCAGTCTCACCTTGGGGATTGCTAGAAAGACAAGACACAGAAAAGATGATAGAATTTTCCTGTCCGCAACTGCACATCCCATCCACACTCCTTCCTAATAGTTCAGACAACACGAGTTTAGAAAGAAACATGCTGAGAGAAACTATAATTATTTCAAAAGAGCACGAGACATAACAGTAAGGTAAACTATCTTAATTTTTATCACTCAACGACAGCATTAATTCAGAACAGGCCTATCAGGCTCAGAAAGATTAAACAAAGGGTGTTGATAAAATACACGATACCTCTCCCCACATTAATCTGTAGCAATCAGAGCACTATCAAGCTCAACAGGAGTATTTGTTGAAGTTAGCCAGCTGCTTCTAAAATTTTTAAATGTATGTTAAAGAGAAACGCGCAGTAGTGGAGACAATTCTGAAAGAGAAGAGATGCTGCCCGTGACTATGTCAAAGCATGAAACTAAAGAGATGCTACAAGTCAATTAAGAAGAAAAAGACAACCCAAAATAAAAATGGGCAAAGGACATGAGTAAGCAATTTACATAAAAGGAAATACAAAAGGCCAATAAATATATGAGGAGATGGGTTGACCTCACTACCAATCATTAACATGCACATGAAAACAAGAAGACACCAGTTTTCACGGACCAGATTTTACACCTTATTTTTCCTGCGTCTCTGGTCCTTGAATCGAGATATCTTACATCTTTTAGTGTGAAGTGCTGGCAGTAAGTAGGGGAAAGGCTTACTTCCCCGGCTGGTGGGCATCGTCACTGCGGAGGGCAAATGGAAGGGTCTGCAGAAAACGTGATTTTGCACGTGCCCTACGGACCTAGGAACTCCAGTCCTCAGTATCGCCCCTCAACAAACACATACATGTGGGCTCACGAAGTAGCTCACACGAAGATGTTTGCTAAGGCACGATTTCTAATAACCCAGTAGTTACCAGGGTAATAAATTATGCTTTATCCACATTATAAAATATTATGTGGTAAAAAATGAGATAATTATATACCACAGAAAGATTCTAAGATGTATCACAGAGTGAAAAAACAAGTTGTAAAAAATTACATGCAAGGTGATGACATTAAACAATACCATACATTTACTAAGGGTACATATTTATGTACACAGACACCCAGAAAAGGCCAATATGAGTCACACTGATAACTGCTGTTACTTCTGAGGAGGCAGAAAGGTTGAAGGCTATGGTCAAAAAAGAAACTTAGCCTTATCAGGACTGCATACTTTTTATTTTTTGAGATGGAGTCTCGCTCTGTCGCCAGGCTGGAGTGCAGTGGCACGATCTCGGCTCACTGCAACCTCCGCCTTCTGGGTTCAAGCGATTCTCCTGCCTCAGCCTCCCCAGTAGCTGGGACTATAGGAGCGTACCACCACACCCGGCTAATTTTGTATTTTTAAGAGATGGGGTTTCACCATGTTGGTCAGCATGGTCTCCATCCCTTGCCCTCGTGATCCACCCGCCTTGGCCTCCTAAAGTGCTGGGATTACAGGTGTGAGCCACGGCGCCCAGCCAATTGCGTACTTTTTTAACTACCTTTTTTTTTTTTTCTTTTTTTTTGAGATGGAGTTTCACTCTTGTTGCCCAGGCTGGAATGCAATGGTGCAATCTCGGCTCACTGCAACCTCTGCCTCCCAGGTTCAAGCTATTCTCCCGTCTAAGCCTCCCAAGTAGCTGGGATTACAGGCATGCGCCACCACGCCATGCTAATTTTGTATTTTTAGTAGAGACGACGTTTCTCCATGGTGGTCAGGCTGGTCTCGAACTCCCGACCTCAGGTGATCCGCCTGCCTCGGCCTCCCAAAGTGCTGGGATTACAGGCATGAGCCACCACACCCGGCTTTTTTTACTACATATTTTAAGTACATTATCTCCTTTAATCTCAATTGCAAAATTTGTAAATATATCAATAAATAAACTTAAGGTCGGGCGCGGTCGCTCAAGCCTGTAATCCCAGCACTTTGGGAGGCAGAGGCAGGCAGATCACGAGGTCAAGAGGTCGAGACCATCTGGCCAACATGGTGAAACCCCATCTCTACTAAAAATACAAGAAAATTAGCTGGGTGTGGTGGCAGGTGCCTGTAGTCCCAGCTACTTGGGAGGCCGAGGCAGGAGAATGGCGTGAACCCGGGAGGCGGAGCTTGCAGTGAGCCAAAATCGCGCCACTGCACTCCAGCCTAGCGACGGAGCAAGACTCTGTCTCAAAAAAAAAGGGAAAGAAAAAGTAAATTTAAAATATCTATATATCTACTACCTAGCTTTATGCTTAATTCGTTATAAGATCTCAGGCACACAAAACATTACATATGAAACTGGGGCCCACAGTACCTCTCCACATCCCTTCTTTCCCTTCCTTCTCTGAAGCAATTCTGTCAAGGGGGTGGTTCATGGGTCCATAAGAAAATAGAAAGAACAAGATCTACTGTTTAACAGCACAGTAGGGTGACTACAGTCAATAATAATTTAATTGTAAATTTTAAAATAACATAAAGAGTGTAATTGGATTGTTTGTAACTCAATAAAAGCTTGAGGGGGCTGGGCACAGTGGCTTACACCTGTAATCCCAGCACTTTGGGAGGCCAAGGCGGGTGGATCACTTGATGTCAGGAGTTCGAGATCAGCCTGGACAACATGATGAAACCCTGTCTCTACTAAAAATACAAAAATTAGCCATGTGTGGTGGCATGTGCCTGTAATCCCAGCTACTTGGGAGGCTGAGGCAGGATAATCACTCGAACCTGGGAGGCAGAGGTTGCAGTAAGCCGAGATTGTGCCATTGCACTCCAGACTGGGCGACAGGGCAAGACTCCGTCGCAAAAAAAAAAAAAAAAAAAAGAGGATGGATACCCCATTCTCCATGATGCGCTTATTTCATGTCACATGCCTGTATCAAAACATCTCATGTACCCCATAAATATACCCACCTACTATGTACCCACAAAAATTAAAATAAATAAAATAATAATGTAAAAAAGAATTTAATGGGCAGGCGCGGTGGCTCACGCCTGTAATCCCAGCACTTTGGGAGGCCGGGGCGGGCAGATCACAAGGTCAGATCGAGACCATCCTGGCCAACACGGTGAAACCCCGTCTCTACTAAAAATACAAAACAATTAGCCAGGTGTGGTGGCAGGCACCTGTAGTCCCAGCTACTCGGGAGGCTGAGGCAGGAGAATCACTTGAACCCGGGAGGCGGAGGTTGCAGTGAGCCGAGATCGCACGACTGCACTCCAGCCTGGGTGACAGAGCGAGAGGCCATCTCAAAAAAAAATAAAATAAAATAAAAAATAAAAATAAAAAAAGGATTTAATGTCTATTACTACCAAGCATGTTTTTACATGCTATTAACAAAATTTAAAAATTTTTTAGCCCATCCTTCTTCTGCAGATATATGCTATTACTTCCATTTAAAACAAAAAAAATTTACAAACAAAAAAATGCATTTAATAATTTTAAACACATAATAATTTTAAATCTCAAAGAGTTAAGAGATGGGTTTAACATGAGCCCATGTAAGTGTGGCCAGACTAATTCAGTTGAGTGCTTTCCTGACATCCCAGATTTAAAAAGATAAAGACACCATGAAGATTTATGAATCCAGGTGGGCATGGTGGCTCATGCGTGTAATCCCAGCACTTTGGGAGGCTGAGGTGGGAGGACTGCTTGAGTCCAGGAGTTCGAGAGGCCAGCCTGGGTAACACAGGGAGACCCCATCTCTACAAAAAATTTTAAAAATTAGCTGAGTGTGGTGGTGTACAGCTATAGTCCCAGGTACTCAGGAGGCTGAGGTGGTATGATCGCCTGAGCCCAGGAGGTTGAGGCTGCAATGAGCCATGATCACACAACTGCACTCCAGCCTGGGCAACAGAGTAAGACTTTGTTTCAAAAGAAAAAACCACCATGCTCAGCTAATTTTTTTATTTTTTGCAGAGATGGGGTTTTACCATGTTGCCCAGGCTGGTCTTGAATTCCTGACCTCAAGTGATCTGTCTTGGTCTCCCAAAGTGTTGGATTACAGGTGTGCACCACTGCACCCAGCGCCTGCATCTCTCTCTTTTTTTGTTCTTTGTATCTTTACCTGCTTCTTTTGAACAGGATTATCCATTGCCCAAGTTTTGATGTGTACGACTTTCCCTAAATTAAAATAGACATGTGAGGCTGGGTGCAGTGGCTCATGCCCATAATCCCAGCACCTTGGGAGGCCGAGATGAGAGGATTGCTTGAGCCCAAGAGTTTGAGACCAGCCTGGGTGACACAGTGAGACCTTCTCTATTTTTTTTAAAAAAAAAGACATCTGAGGCCAGAAATTTTGTTCCTTACACTCTTTCCTGTTTGCTTTTAAGGTATTTCTTCACCTGTATGTAGGTTTTTTTAATGTTGTAATGTTAGAACAATGTTATGATGCTCTTGATAATTATTTTTGTCATTTTTTGGTCTTTGTTTTCTATGCTAGTCTCATTTAAAATTAAATTTTTTGTCAGATCAATAAGTCTCCCTAATGTTTTCTCCCTAATCCTCAGTCTGTTCCCTCTACTATCACTCAGGACTCTCCTTGCTTTCTGCTGCATTCTAGGAAACCATCTCTTTACTTCCCTTAGGCTGTTTCTGTTCCAAAGTCATGGCTTTTAATTCCAAGAACCGAGAAGGCCCTTGGACTCAATAAACCTTATCCGCATTTAGGCCTCTGTTCACTATTGCACTGCCGGTCACTAATAAGGATTTCCTGGGGTTCCCTAGAAAAGAGAAGGTAGCGAATTTTAGGTGAGCACAACTGACCAAGGCACACATGTAGGAGAGAGACGGATTACAATGAGAATGGCACAAATCTGAACGACTAATGCCAGTCTACACAGTAACATGGAAATGCTGACCATAGACTGTCCAGGGAATGGAAAAAAGCAGTGTGACTGCAAAGGAGAAAAACAAAAGTTCACTGCCATAAGAGATTAGAAGGAAACACACAGACTGTTGACAATGACGGGGTTTGGATGGTAGACCGTGGGCAACTTTTCTTCCTGTTCTATGTTACAAATTTTCTTTGGTGAGCATGAACTGTTTGTAAAAGAGCTAATGAAGAAAAGATTAGAGTCCAGAGTGAACAGGCTCATCAAAAATGCTGACAGCAGGCTAGGCGCGGTGGCTCACGCCTGTAATCCCAACACTTTGGAAGGCCGAGGCGGGCAGATCACCTGAGGTTGGGAGTTCAAGACCAGCCTGACCAACATGGAGAAACCTCATCTCTACTAAAAATACAAAATTAGCCAGGCGTTGTGGCTCATGCCTGTAATCCCAGTACTTTGGGAAGCTAAGGCGGGAGGATCACTTGAATCCAGAAGTTCAAGACCACCCTGGGCAACACAGTGAGACCCCATCTCTAAAAAATAAATAAATAAATAACCAAATCTTTCCCACAGGAAATGACAACAGTTCCATAAGAAGCAAGCTCCAAGACTGTGGATGAAACAAAAAAAAAAAAGAAGAAAGCCACACTAACCTCATTTCTTTTTTGATAGGATTACCAGATCAAGAAATTCAGAGAATACATAGACGGTGCTCTATTTCAAGTTCATTAAGCCACGTAATCCAGTTCCTCATGACAGTAAAAGGAACTGTGGGCCTTATGGTAATAGAATAAGACTTATGATACTGGAAGACACTGCCCACCCTTCACCAACCACTGGATGAAGAAACAGAAGCCACGTGTACACAATGGAGAGCAAGAAGCTGAGGAGTAGAGCTAGGAGCTGAAAGGTAGAGTTACGATGAAAATGCACTCAGCAGACTGAAAGCAGAGGTTTGAAATCAACAAGATGTAATTTAATAGGACTACATTTAAAAGTAATTTTTTTAAAAAAGTGCCTCAAGTACATGATGAGAAAGACTGTTCTGATGGGCACAATTCCTGGGGAAAAGACCTAAGTGCTTTGGCTGCATATAGGATGAGTGCAACACTGAAATGGCTGAGACAGAGACAACGGTGAGGAACAGTCCTGCCGTTCTCTCTGTGAATCCAACCATAACTGGAACCCATATCTCACCTCAGAAAGAACATTCAGAAACGGCAAAGCGTTTAGAGAAGGGAGACCAGAAAGTTGCGACACATGAAGCAAAGTTGAGCGAATGGGCAGCAAGCCTGTGCTTCCAGCACCCGAAGGGCTACTGTATGAAAGGACTTCACAGTCACACAGTAACTGACGGACAGAAATTACTAGAAGGCAATGCTCAACACAAGTAAGTACCCAAAAATAAAGTTGCCTGTCTCATAAATAGTTCTCACACTGTCACTTAAGAAACATTCAGGCAGCCGCCAAAAGACCAGTAGGAAGTTTGCCAAAAGGCCTGCAGGGTTGGGCACAAGGTTAACCTAGATGACCTCTGAGGTCTCTTCCAACCATGAGAGTTTGAATCTTGGGCATAAAGAGACTGAACCTTTTTGACACTGAATCGTTCAAATGTAGCGAGTCACTCTTGATGCAGGACAGTCCAGTGTGCCACAGCCCAAACTGTCTGAATGCTGGCAGAGCAGTTAGGAACACACGTTTCAGTCAGATCAGTCTTTGAACCTCAGCCTTGCTACTTACATAGCTGTGGGACTATGAGCAAGTTTCCCAACCCCTCAGCACCTTCATTTTCTCCCCAGTGAAACGGAAATAATCAACACCTTCTCCTCACAGGGCTGTTGAAAGGATCAGTTAATGACACAGCAGAGCGACTGGCACATAGTAAGCACTTAACACACGTTATCTTTTATTATTGTTGTTGGTATTAATAACAAATAACTTGAACTTGACGCCTAGTGTGGATGCAGGAGTCAACATGGTTATTCCAATTTCCTCACTTGCCCAAGAAGCTAGGTCACTTAAATGACGGCTGGGAAGATGGAGAATACCAGATGATGATAATAAGCCACATTAACTGGGCACCTGCCATGTGCCAAGCGCCACTCTATGGACTGTAACATTTTGTTAGAGTCTCCCAGCAGCCCTATAAGAATTCCTGTCATTGGCCGGGCGCAGTGGCTCACGCCTGTAATCCCAGCACTTTGGGAGGCTGAGGCGGGTGGATCACAAGGTCAGGAGTTCAAGACCAGCCTGGCTAACATGGTGAAACCCCGTCTCTACTAAAAATATAAAAATTGGCTGGCCGTGGTGGCAGGTGCCTGTAATCCCAGCTACTCAGGAAGCTGAGGCAGGAGAATCATTTGAACCCAGGAGGCGGAGGTTATAGTGAGCCAAGATTGCGCCACTGCACTCCAGCCTAGGCAACAGAGTGAGACTCCGTCTCTCAAAAAAAAAAAAAAAAAAAAGAATTCCTGTCATCTGCCTTTCCAGATAAGGAAACTGAGATTTTTAGAGGCTAAATAACTTGCCCGAGGCCATAGAGCTAGAAAGTAACAGATTAAGATTTGAATCCAGGTAACTAGGCTTCAGAGCTCATGCTCATAACCATGAAACCAATGGTCCTCAATCCTGTCTGCACATTAAAAGTACCTGAAAAGATGGCCTGGCGCAATGGCTCACACCTACAACGCCAGCGCTTTGGGAGGCCGAGGCGGGTGGATCACAAGGTCAGGAGATCGAGACCACCCTGGTCAACATGGTGAAAACTCGTCTCTATTAAATACAAAAAATTAGTTGGGCATGGTGGTGTGCGTCTGTAGTCCCAGCTACTCGGGAGGCTGAGGCAGGGGAATCACTTGAATCTGGGAGGCAGAGGTTGCAGTCAGCTGAGATCGTGCCACTGCACTCCAGCCTGGGTGACAGAGCAAGACTCCTTCTCAAAAAAAAAATAAAAAATAAAAATAAATAAATAAAAATTACCTGAGAAGATATAAAAAGAATAACTATCAGCCGGGCGCAGTGGCTCACACCTGTAATCCCAGCACTTTGGGAGGCCGAGGCGGGTGGATCACAAGGTCAGGAGTTCAAGACCAGCCTGGCCAAGATGGTGAAACCCCATCTCTACTAAAACTACAAAAATTAGCTGGGCACGGTGGCAGGTGCCTGTAATCCTAGCTACTCAGGAGGCTGAAGCAGGAGAATCGCTTGAACCCGGGCGGCAGAGGTTGCAGTGAGCCGAGATCGCGCCACTGCACTCCAGCCTGGGCTACAGAAAGAGAGGAAAAAAAAAATGCTGGGCAGTGGCCAAGGTGGGTGGATCACGAGGTCAGGAGGTCAGGAGCTTGAAACCCTGTCTCTACTAAAAAATACAAAAAATTAGCTGGGTGTGGTGGCATGCACCTGTAGTCCCAGCTACTCGGGAGGCTGGGGCAGGAGAATCGCTTGAACCCAGGAAGTGGAGGTTGCAGTGAGCCGAGATTGCGCCACTGCACTCCAGCCTGGGTGACAGAGCAAGCCTCTGTCTCAAAAAAAAAAAAAAAAAGAAAAGAAAACCAGTAACTATCCCTGGGACCTATCCAACTCCAACTAATATAAAGTGGTCTGAGATGGGCAGCAGGGTTCCCCAGGGCTCAGGAACACTATCCTAGGCCATGCTGCCTCCTGGACAAAGAATCGACTGAAATAAGCAAGCTTCCCCAGCTGACATCCCACGGCCGACCTTACTGCCTTTTTTAGGAATATCTTTAGAACCGTGAGACTGGAGTTGTACGTTAAAAAAAAAAATTTTTTTAAATTAAAAGTTAACCCCAAAAGTGATCCTATTAAGGTAAGTATCATATTTCCATTTTACAGACAAGGAGACTGAAACTAACAAGGCTCAAGAACTTGTCCTCAGTCACAAAGGAACTGAGACTAGATTCTACGAGGCTTTTGCGCCCTAAAGAGCTCCAACAGATGTGAGAAAACACTTCAAGTGGGTGAGCAGAGATGCTCCACGGGGGAAGTGACACCTGACCAGAGATAAAGCATGGGACAAGGAAGGGCAAATGCACAGAATGAAAGGCATGAGCCGTATCAGAGGCAAGCCGCCTCAAGGAATGCTCTCGGGACCAGAGGTCGACAGGTGTGATAAAGCTATGACGCCCTCGCGGTAGAGTTGTGAGAGAGACTCACAGGTATGCTTGCGCCCGGCTGTGCAGGCACATGAAGGTCAAGCCACACCTGGCCTTCACAGGACTTCTCCTCAAACAGAAACCCCGCCCATGAGGGAAGCAAGGGCGTGTTTCTGACTTGAACTGGTCATGCAGGATAAAGAGTGAAGCAGCTTCCAGAGTTCAGCTCTGCATCCACACTGCTGGGCCCATTAGGACTGACTGAGGAGGGACGCAATATCAGTCGATAGCACCACATCCTACATTACACAGCAACAGAGCAAAGGAGTTAAGGGCAAGGCTCTAGAGTCAAAGAAACTGGGTGTGAATCCTGACTCCACCTTTACTAGCTACATGACCCTGGGCAATTTATTAAACTTCTTTGAGCCTGCTTCCTCTTTATAAAATAGGGATAAAAATAAATTCCTCATACAGTTGTTGTGAGCAACAAAAAAGAAAGAAATATATAATGTGCTTAACGAGTCTAGTAAAAAAGCAAGTTCACAACAAATAGCAGCTATTCTTTCATTCATTCAATATATTTACAGAGCTTTTGCTTTTATCAACCAAACAAGGCTAGAGAAGCTCATACAATACAGCACAGGCCTTTAACATGCATTCAGAAGGCTGCCTACTAAACCCTTTATGAACACCCAAATTTGCAAATAACACAGAGGGAAGCCTTCTGCATTCATGGATTTATATTATAGTAGAATAATAAATAAGAACATAGACTCACTAAAAAAGTAGTAATTTTTCCTTTTATTTATAAATTGCTTTAGAAAACTGCGGCAGATTACTATATACAATAATTCGGGGTGAGTTCTAGGGAGCAAAATACCCCAAAAAAACACAAAGATCAAATCAAATCACAAGTCCAACTGTAAGCGCAGGCTTAAAACTCAGGGCAGGATTAGTTTAGCTTTCTCTGACAACAGGATGTTACTGAGTGGTTTACATATATCAGATATTCAGATTATCAATAGATTCAGAATTTTTTTTTTTAAGACAGAGTCTCGCTCTGTCGCCCAGGCTGGAGTGCAGTGGTGCAATCTCGGATCACGGCAACCTCTGCCTCCCAGGTTCAAGCGATTCTCACGCCTCAGCCTCCCGAGTAGCTGAGATTACAGGCGCCAGCCATCACTCCCAGCTGATTTTTGTAGTTTTAGTAGAGATGGGGTTTCACCATGTTGGCCAGGTTGGTCTCAAACTCCTGACCTCAAGTGATCCACCTGCCTTGGCCTCCCAAAGTGCTGGGATTACAGGCATGAGCCACCACACCTGGCCAATAGATTCAGATTATCAACAAAAGTGTTAATGGCTTTTCCCCACCAATCTCAAAATTGCTCTAACTCCCCGAAAAGAAGGTCTCACTGTGATACACTTTCACTACGTTTAAAGGCAAAGAAAAGTTAACACCTCTACGATAAAAGGAGAAAATGAGTAAGGGTCCTTAGAAGCACAGGTTCGAATCTCAGCTCTGCCACTAACTGGTAACTTTTTCTGGGCCTCCTCAGAAAAGACAATCTCTTATTTCCCAGCTCTAACATCTGAGCCAGCTGACAGCATCTGAACTTTAAACAGGTGACCTCAGAAATGGAGACTTCACAGGTCCCTTCTCACAAGAGTGCTTGGATAAGGAGTGGACACGCAAGGCAAGGCCAGAAGCATGAGGTGATGGCAGGGAAAAGGCACTCTCTGGGGAAATGTGGACAAATTTCCCACAAAACACCCTGTACCTTTCTTCATCATGTCTCGGTCCAAGGCTACATTTCTTTGGGCAAGATTTACTTCCGATCGAAAATGGAAGCGCTTGGCTCGCTGCTCTTTCTTTTCAATTGCTTCCTAGAAAGTACAGAAAAAGTGAAAGTAGTAAAATATGGAGAAGGCGAGTTAAATCACACATGCATCATGATGCATCAGTGACAAACCTGAACTAAAAAAGAAGAAATAAGCAACACTACACCTTGAATCAGTCTGGCAGAGACCTGGATATTCACACTCAATGACTGGGGGGATATGTTAATATCGCTGTAATTTGCAACCATCTCCGACATAACACAGCCTATCACTGTGCCTGGGACATAGTAGGAACTCAGTGAGTATCTGCTGACTGAATGAATAGTCCTTTAAAGTTTATAAAGTTATATGACACTTCATTTGTTATTATCAATTATGCCAACAAATTACAACTAAACAATTTCAACATCCCAATTTTCCAGGTGCAGAAATGGAGGCACAAAAAAGCAAAAAGGTTTGCTGGAGATACTTCAGCTATTAAGCAAGCAGATCTGATTCCAGTGCTATTTCTAGGAGCCCACCTACAACCACTTCACATTGTCTGAGCAATGGTAATCACACCTATCACGCTCTTCCACATTATAACTGCCTGAGCAGTCCACTCCCTAAAGCTAGTCTGTTTAAAAATAACACCGAAGCAAAGAAACTCTCCCTCCTCTTCCAGCCTCGTGTCCACGGAATCACCAGTTTTCATCTCTAAGTGATAAGAACCATTGACACTTTACTGAAAAAATAATCAGCTTTGTAAGTTTCTTCTAAGAGCTAAAATAAACCCAGGTCCAACTGTGGGTTTCTGATGGCTCTTAGGAACCCTTCACTAATTGGTTTTGTTTGTTTTTGTTTTTGAGACGGACTCTCACTCTGTCGCCAGGCTGCCACGATCTCAGCTCACAGCAACCTCCGCCTCCCGGGTTCAAGAGATTCTCCTGCCTTAGCCTCCTGAGTAGCTGGGACTGCAGGTGCACACCACCACGCCCAGCTAATTTTTGTATTTTTAGTAGAGACGGGGTTTCACCATGTTGGCCAGGATGGTCTCGATCTCTTGACCTCGTGATCTGCCTGCCTCGGCCTCCCAAAGTGCCAGGATTACAGATGTGAGCCACCGCGCCCAGTCCCCTTCACTAATTGTATATTGACTTTGCCACACTAATTGAAGGTCTGACTACAGAGAGCTTGTGGGGATTGGTAAAGTTGCAACACTTCTGTTCTTTCCCAATAGTTAACGCTCATTTTCTTCACTGAAGTCTTCCTAGTACAAACAACAATTTACCTTCCTTTAGAAACAAAGTACTAACTCTGAGACTATCACCCTTTTCCCATATACCTGTGTCATATAATGGCAAACAGTGTAAGATTATGAATAGTTTACTTTTTCAATTACAGTAAGAAAAGATTTTCACTTTATTCTCTTTTCTTGTCTAAAAGATGACCAATTCTCTCTCTTTTTTTTTTTTTTTTTTTGCGGGGATGGGGGGCCTTTAAGTGATTGGAAACACAAGAGACACAGATAAACCATAAAAAGGTTAGCTGGGCATGATAGCATCCACCTGTAGTCCCAGCTACTCGGGAGGCTGAGGCAGAGGGATCAATTGAATCCAGGAGGCAGAGGTTGCAGTGAGCCGTGATCGCACCCCTGAACTCCAGCCTGGGTGACAGAGTGAGACTCTGTCTCAAAAAAAAAAAAAAAACACTATAAAAAGGAAGGCACGAAATATATTTTTATTTTTGCTTTTATGTATTCAATACAGCAATATATACTATTATTCAGAAATGTAATACAAAATTCTGTTCCAAACTTAACTGTAAACATTAAAATCAGAAAAAATGTCTAAAACGGAACATCACTGATTAAAGCAACTTACATGTATTGACTACATATAAGGAAAATAATAGGCTTGACTCTATGAGGTGTTACAATGAAGGTGGTAATCTGGTAATAGCAATCATCAGATACAAGGCAATAGTCTTATTAAGGGCCTATTATGCCGACACGGTGGCTTACACCTGGAATCCCAGCACTTCGGGAGGCTGAGGCAGGTGGATCACCTGAAGTCAGGAATTCAAGACCAGCCTGACCAATACAATGAAACCCTGTCTCTACTAAAATTACAAAAATTAGCCAGGCGTGGTGGCGGGCGCCTGTAGTCCTACCTACTCAGGAGGCTGAGGCAGAAGAATCGCTGGAACCCAGGAGGTGGAGGCTGCAGTGAGCCGAGATCGCACCACTGCACTCCAGCCTGGGCAACGGAGCGAGACTCCACCTAAATATGGGGGGCCTACCATCTGCCAGGCACTTTTCATGTTTTGTTTCATTTCAAGTGGAAACAGTACACATTTTTTTAGAAATGGACATACCATTTAAAAAAGCATCCCCCGTCTTGGACATTTTCTTGGAAACGGTTCAACACAGGTATCTAAGTAGAGTGATTTTATCCTTTCATGGCTGTAAGAACACACAAATGCTGCCTGTACCGTTTCAGGATGCATGAAGACATCGTTGTATAACACAAAATTTTTTTTTGTTGCCCCCACTGGAGTGCAGTGGCACGATTTCAGCTCAGTGCAGCCTCAACCTCTCAGGCTCCAGCGATCCTCCCACCTCAGCCTCTTGAGTAGTTGGGACTACAGACCTGTGCTACCACACCCGACTAATTTTTGTATCTTTCGTAGAGACGGGTCTCACTATGTTGCCCAGGCTGGTCTCGAACTCCTGGGCTTAAACGATCCACTTGCTTGGCCTCTCAAAATGCTAGGATTACAGGCATGAGCCAGCGTGCCTGGCCAATAACACAATTTTTTTTAGAAAAAAAATTTAAATCCAGCAACAAAATAAAAGAGGAAATATTTACTGTTATGTCCTAGGGATCAAATTCATTAAGTTCACTTGCTTATCAAGCTGAATAAATAAATCATAGCCTGTCTTACCTTGGAGGTGACATCAATTCCAGTGATGAAGCTGCCAGCCTTGTTTTCATATCTTCTGCTCGTGTCCTAACACAAAGGGGAAGGGTGAGAAATTCAGACAGCAATTGAGGAAAAACCTATAATAAAAGTCGGCCTGACATCTGCAGGTTCTTTTTTCCTTTTTTTTTTTTTTTTGTTGGTGACAGTGTCTTGCTCTGTTGCCCAGGCCGGAGTGCAGTAGAATGATCACAGCTCACCGCAGCCTCGACTCCCCAGGCTCACGCCATCCTCCCCCTCAGCTGGGCCCTCAGGCATATGCCACCATGCCCAGCTAATTTTTTTTTTATTTTGTAGAGACAGGGTCTCCCTATGTTGCCCAGGCTGGTCACCAACTCCTGGGCTAAAGCAGTCCTCCTGCCTCAGTCTCCCAAAGTGTTAGGATCACATGTGTGAGTCATCACAACCAGTCTGGTTCTTTCTGTTTTTCTGTTTGTTTTTTGAGATGGAGTCTCACTCTTATCGCCTAGGCGGGAGTGCAGTGGCACAAACTCGGCTCACTGCAACCTCTACCTCCTGGGTTCAAGCGATTCTCCTGTCTCAGCCTCCTGAGTAGCTGGGATTACAGGCATGTGCCACCACCGCCAGCTAATTTTTTTATTTTTAGTAGAGACGAGGTTTCACCATGTTGGCATACTGGTCTCAAACTCCTGACCTCGGTGATCCGTCTGTCTCAGCCTCCCAAAGTGCTGGGATACAGGCATGAGCCACCACACCTGGCAAGTCTGGTTCTTTTTGAATAGCCACTCTTTTCAAAACCCTTCCCCACCCCTGACAACCTTTTATTAAGAAGCCCCATCCTAGTGATTCCATGGTATCAATCAACCACTCCAATAAGAAGATCAGAGCCTGTCCAAAAACTGAAGTGATTCCATCAACTCCAAGTATCCATGTAAAGAAAATCTAAAGGCTTTTGTGGAAAATGTCAAAAGATAAGGCACAGTCACTTAGCTCCCCAACCCAGTCTGAACGAATTCCTCATGCCCAGCCACCAGGTGGAGCACAACCCTCCACCTCAACGCAGAAGGTCCAGCCTCACCTAGAACTCCTGAGGCAAATACAGCACAGTGCAATGCAAAGGGGATGGGATTTGGAAACCAAGCGAGGACTGAAGCCTCAGCTCTGACAGTCACTAATTACAGGACACTGTATAGTTTTCTTGACCTCTCTGGGTCTCAGTTTCCTCTGTGGTATCTACCTGCCTTCCTGACCTCTTTTACTGCCCTTCCATTAGTACTACAGAAGTTTCCAACAATCCTGGACCCATCCCAGAGCCTCTGTGCTTGTTACTGGCCCTGCTGGGGGAACTCCTTTTCAATCTTCACAAGATTGGCTTTTTGTCATTTAGAGTTTATATGGAACATAAACTCCAGGAGGGAGGTTGAGCTTGATCAAGCACCTAGGGCTGTGCCTTGGTACATAGCGGGGGATGCAATAAATACATGTTGGCCGGACGCAATGGCTCAGGCCTGTAATCCCAGCACTTTGGGAGGCAGAGGCGGGCGGATCACCTGAGGTCAGGTGTTCGAGACCAGCCTGGCCAACATGGAGAAACCCCGTCTCTACTAAAAATACAAAATTAGCCGGGCACGGTGGCACATCCCTGTAATCTCAACTACTTGGGAGGCTGAGGCAGAAGAGTAGCTTGAACCCAGGAGGCGGAGGTTGCGGTGAGCCAAGATCAGGCCATTGTACTTGGCTACTCAGGAGGCTGAGGCAGGAGAATGGCTTGAACCCGGGAGGCGGAAGTTGCGGTGAGCCGAGATCGCGCCATTGCGTTCCAGCCTGGGCAACAAGAGCGAACTCCGTCTCAAAACAAAACAAAACAAAAACCATGTTGAACTGAATGACTAAAGGGATGATAACACCTGCTTCACAACTGCAGTAATATTTATTTATTTTGGTTTTGTTTTTGAGATGGGGAGAGGGGAAAGGGGGGACCTCAAAGGGGTCTTGCTATATTGCTGAGGCTGGTCTGGAACTTAGACTCCTGAATAGCTGGCACTAAAGGCGTGCACGGCCAGTATATTTAAGTGACACAATATAGTGAATGGTAAATGCTACTATATTAGCTGTTGTTAATCATAATTATAACGTTTGCCATCTCTAGCGATCATACTTTAACCTTTCTCCATAACTTCAGTCTAAATATGTTGACATGTGGTCAAAAGTAATTCATGTTAGGTGAGAAATTAAGAGGAGTCATCCAGGCCTGAAACCAGCTCTGAGAACTGGATATACAGCCACCAAGTCACAAGCAAAACACCTCTCACCATCCCCAGCGCGGTAAAGGAGGGACCAAGGATGTCTATTGGTCGTCTGCTAGTTTGCTTTCATTAAGAGTCAGATGCTGGGGCCACGGTGTAGGTGTCACTGGAGCTGCGGGGGGGGCAAGATGACCCCGAAGTCACGACAGAAACAGTGAGTTTCTGCTGCTGACAAGTGCAGCCCTCTCAAGACAAAGAGCGAGTGCCATGTTTCCCAGATACAAATTCCTCCGGGGCAAGACCCACAAGGAGACCTGGTTGCTGGCGCCACCCAACAGCTCCTTCTGGGCTGCCCCTGGTTCTGTTCCCGCCCAGGGCTCCCCCTTTATCTCATCCTTCCAGCCCCTCCTCACTCACCTCCTTGCACAGCGCGGCTCAGAGGGGGCAGCGGAGGGGGGTCCTCAACTCCCTCCCAGCTCTCCGCCACCACCCCCCAGCCCCCTCAACACCCATTTCCGGCGCCCCGGCGTCCTTTCTCCCGCTCCGCGTCCCTCCTCCAGCCCGGCGTTCCCGTTCCCAGGACGCTGGCTCCCTCCTCTCCCGCTCCCTTGACTTCCCCGGCTGGGGCTCCGGCCACCGCCCCTTCCGGCCCCCTCCGGCGCTAGACACTAGCCCCGCGACCTCTTCCTTACCCCCCGACCCCCGCCCGTACCGGGATCAGTTCCTTGAGCGAGCGCCGCACAGGCACGATTTCCAGCTCGCCCTCCTCCACCTCCATGGGCTCCGGCTCGCCACGGTCAACACCGGACTCCGCCTCAGGGGACGGGAGCCCCAGGGCCGGCCCCGCCGGGGCCTCCGCCTTCACCGACACCCGCAGGCCCCGTACGGCCGCCATCGCTGCCTGCCGGCCGCACCACTGAGAGCCCGCCCCTCACGGCCGCCGGCTAGAGCGCCGCTGCCACTGGCCACAGAGGAGCCGCCGCAGCTACCTAGAGCGTCGCCGGCTTCGGCCCAGAAGGCCGCCCTTAGCGCCGCCGCCCCCTGGTGGCGGGAGAAAACCGGGCCGGCTGCGCGGGCGGGACCTGGGGAGGAGAAGGCGGGACTGAGCGGGGACGGGGGCGGGGCCTGCGGGAACTACGGAGCTTGGAGGAGACCGGGGTAGTCAAGGGTTACAATGTAGCTACGCCTTGAGGCTAAAGCTGTACTAAAAGCCAACTTTCCTGAGTGATCACTATGGGCCAGACACTTCCAAGCGCTCGAACCCTTAGAACAACTCTATGAAGTAGATCCTATTTTGACCCCCATTTCATATATGAGGAAACTGAGGCATAGAAATTGACCCAAGGTGACGCCATTTAAGGGATAAAAGCTGGATCTAAGTCTTCCAGAGTTTACAATGAGCCTTGATATATCACCTCTGGACAATCTGTAGGTTTATAAAGTTACTTGCCTTGCCAGTCTTTGTCTCTTAAAAGTCTCCCCAAAATTGGCCCATGTTACATACACAAAAATTGAGACTCCAAGAGGGAGAGACCTGCCCAAAGGCCAGAACTTGGACGCCGATTTCCTGACTCCTGAGGGTGCCATCCACTGTAGACCTGTGAGCATAGTTTCCGGCGGATATTTCTAACGAGAGCCTGGTGGGGGAGAGGGGTTGTCTACGCGTCCCGAGGGTGTCACTGATCAGCTGCTGTTCTGAGTCCTGATTTTCTTTTTCTTTCTTTCTTTCTTTCTTTATTCCTTTCTTCCTTCCTTTCTTTCTTCTTTTCTTTCTTTCTCTTTTCCTTCCTTCCTCCCTCTCCTCTTTCTTTCTTTCTTTCTTTTTTTTTTTTTTTTTTGTAGAGACAGGGTTTCACCATGTTGACTAAGCTGGTCTCGAATTCCTAACCTCAAGCGATCCACCCGCCTCGGCCTCCCAAAGTCTTGGGATTACAGGCATGAGCCACCGCGCCCGGCCTGAGTCCTGATTTTGCATCTTCCTCCCTGGGTAACCTTGGACAGGTTTTTGGGTCTGTTTTCCCATCTGAGGAGGGCATAGGTGAGACCCTACAGTCTCTGAGGCCCTGAGGCCCTACCAGCTCTGACCATGGAGGAGCAAATAATGATAAACCAAGGAAGAGCATGGTCAGCATCAGACACACCTGGGTTTCGAGCTGGCTGGCCGGGCCCCATCCACCATGTGTGACCTTAGGCAAGCTGCTTAGCACTTTGGAGTCTCAGTTCCTTCATCAGTAAAATGGACCATTACCTACCTACAAAGGAGGTTGTGAGGGTTAAATGTGATAATTTATATGTAGATACAGGGTCCAACAGAAGGGGTGCAGTACATCACAGTTTTTCTTAAATTTGGGCTAAACCACAGGATAAACACAAGACAGAGCTCTTTAGAGGACTAGTTTTATTTGATGAATGGGACACAAAGTACTTTTAAAAATTGGGTTGAGGCCGGGCACGGTGGCTCATGCCTGTAATCCCAACACTTTGGGAGGCCAAGGCGGGCAGATCATGAGGTCAGGAGATCGAGATCATCCTGGCTAACATGGTGAAACCGTGTCTCTACTAAAAAAAAAAAATTAGCCGGGCATGGTGGCATGCACTACTTGGGAGGCTGAGGCAGGAGAATCACTTGAACCCGGGAGGTGGAGGTTGCAGTGAGCCGAGATCATACCACTGCACTCCAGCCTGGGCGACAGAGCGAGACTCCGTCTCCAAAAAAAAAAAAAAAAAATGGGTTGAATGCATACATAGAATATGTACGGGTGTGTGTGTGTGTGTGTGTTTAATTTCAAACAAAATGTGTAGTTGGGGTGGCCAGCTATAGGTAAGAGTCACAGCCCCCACCATTACTAGGCCTGTGGGGTTAGGGGATGGGAGAGGAGGAAGTAATCCCTCCTCAGCTATGGACACCAGGAGGCCAGTAGAGAAGGCTGGGCAGGCCCCTCACCCTGCTGGGGAGGATGCCTTGTTGCTTGAGGACGCAATTCGGTGAGGATTCAGTGTTGCAGTTCAGTGCCATCCAGAAGAGCCCCAGCACCCTGGCACACCAGCCGGCAGGTACATGAGGAGTCCAGGACAAGCCGGGACATCAGGCAAACACCAAGGCTCCTAGGCGCGTGTCAGGAAAGCCCTCTGTGCCTTGCTCTTTGTGGTCACCTTAGTCACCATCTCCCATCCCCTTTCCTGTTCGCGATGCAGCCTGCTGAGTTGGAGACACAGAGAATTTAGGAAGGTGGTAAGGGCTGATTTTCAAAAAGTTGAAAAACATGACTCTCAAACAGATGTAAAATGAACACATGTCAAAGCTGTTACCCAGTCATTAGAAAATGAGGAAACCAGTAGAAATATGAAGAATAGTTTGAAGGGGAACTTGAATGAATATGTGGTTGGTCAGTCAAAGGAATGCTGAGATGAATTTGACAAGGCAAGTTAATGTCCTGTAAGGCAAGAAACGATAACCTCCAGGACTCCCTTTACCACCAGACAGAAAACATTTGCATTACTACTGGACAAGAATTATTTACTTGTTATAAATTTTCTTTTTTTTCTTTTTTTGAGATGGAGTCTCGCTCTGTCACCCAGGCTGGGGTGCAGTGGTGTGATCTCGGCTCACTGCAAGCTCTGCCTCCCGGGTTCACGCCATTCTCCTGCCTCAGCCTCCCGAGTAGCTGGGACTACAGGTGCCCACCACCACGCCCGGCTACTTTTTTGTATTTTTAGTAGAGACGGGGTTTCACCGTGTTAGCCAGGATGGTCTCGATCTCCTGACCTCGTGATCTGCCCGCCTCGGCCTCCCAAAGTGCTGGGATTACAGGCGTGAGCCACCACGCCCGGCCAAATTTTCTTTTTTCTTTTTTTTTTTTCTTTTTTTGAGATGGAGTCTCGCTCTGTCACCCAGGCTGGAGTGCAGTGGCACGATCTCGGCTCACTGCAACCTCCGCCTCCTGGGTTCACGCCATTCTCCTGCCTCAGCCTCCTGAGTAACTGGGACTACAGGCGCCTGCCACCATGCCCAGCTAATTTTTTGTATTTTTTTTAGTAGAGACGGGGTTTCACCGTGTTAGCCAGGTTGGTCTCGATCTCCTGACCTTGTGATCCACCTGCTTCAGCCTCCCAAAGTGCTGGGATTACAGGCGTGAGCCACTGCACCCAGCCACCTGTTATGAATTTTCTATAAACCTCTACTCTCAGTTGTAAAATACCCTAATCAATAGTGCATAAGAAGTCAGACAAAGCTATACATCTGTAGAGAATCAGATGGTTCCCCAGGCAGATAACACCTGGCACAGTACCAACAGGGCATTTTCCTTTTTCTGTTTCCAAAGTCTGGATATATATTTTTTTTAGATGGGAGTCTCACTCTGTTGCCAAGGCTGGAGTGCAGTGGCACGAGCTTGGCTCACTGCAACCTCCCCCTCCCAGGTTTTAAGCAGTTCTCTGCCTCAGCCTCCCGAGTAGCTGGGATTACAGGCACGTGCCACTATGCCTGGCGACTTTCTGTATTTTTAGTAGAGACGGGGTTTCACCATCTTGGCCAGGTTGGTCTTGAACTCCTGACCTTGTGATTCACCTGCCTCAGCATCCCAAAGTGCTGGGATTACAGGCGTGAGCCACTGCGCCCGGCAAAAATTTTTAATTAATAGAGAAAATCAGGGGAATGGGACATTGGGACAGACTGGAGAGAGAGTTTTAAGAAGGGAGTGATCAAGTGTCATGTTCTGCCATAAGTTCACGATGGAACTTGTTTTGGGTCTAGAGGTTTGCTGGCCATTGGTGACTTTGAGGAGAGCAGAGTCCATGAAGGGGAAGGCACATTAGTGGGGAGATTTGAGCCAGTGTACACAACTCTCAGGAGAAGTAGGCTAGAGGGCAGGGAGGATATTAACAGGCTCTTCTAAAGGGTTCCTTTTCTGTGATTTCTTTCATTGAAATTGGTCACTCCCTCTCCTTTATTTATTTATTTATTTATTTATCGAGACAGAGTCTCACTCTGTCACCTAGACTGGAGTGCAATGGCACAATCTCAGCTCACTGCAAGCTCCGCCTTCCGGACTCAAGCGATTCTCCTGCCTCAGCCTCCCAAGTAGCTGGGATTACAGGCATGTGCCACCACGGCCGGCTAATTTTTGTATTTTTAGTAGAGACAGGGTTTCACCGTGTTGCCCAGGCTGGTCTTGAACTCCTGGGCTCAAGAAGTCTTCCCACCTTGGCCTCCCAAAGTGCTGGGATTATAGCCGTGAACCACCACACCCAGCCCTCTCCCTCTGCTTATTCCTTCCTCTCTTACCCAGCAAGGAGGGGAATAAAAATAATGGAATCCTACTTCCCCTGGAGTGGCACAGGGAAAAGCCGTGGAAAGGTAATGTGAGCTCCTCAGGAGAAATCAGATGCTCCCTGAGGGCTGGTAACCTGGT
This sequence comes from Homo sapiens, assembly GCF_000001405.40. Classification (NCBI taxonomy): domain Eukaryota; kingdom Metazoa; phylum Chordata; class Mammalia; order Primates; family Hominidae; genus Homo; species Homo sapiens. The sequence goes on from NC_000017.11 coordinate 3,850,740, forward strand.
GCACTTGCCTGAGCTGATGCCCTGCTGATTGAAGCAGGGATGTTCTTTAGTGCAGTCTGAAGCTGGGTGCCCGCGACCTGCACGCCTCACACTCCTCGGTTCATGAGTGTCCTTGCAACATGCGCACGCCCATCAGTCATTCAGGAAAAGCTTCCGTGGTTGAAGAAGAGGTCATGAGGCAGCTGACCCTGGTGGGGGCACTGTATCTATGTGCCCCATCCACTGCCTAGCTAAATTCTTGTTTTTGTTTGTTTGTTTTGAGGTGGAGTCTCTCTCTGTTGCCCAGGCTGGATCTCAGCTCACTGCAACCTCCACCTCCTGGGTTCAAGCAATTCTCCTGCCTCAGCCTCCCGAGTAGCTGGGATTACAGGTGCCCGCCACCATGCCTGGCTAATTTTTTTGTATTTTTAGTAGAGACAGGGTTTCATCATGTTGGCCAGGCTGGTCTTGAACTCCTGACCACAGACGATCCACTCGCCTCAGCCTCCCAAAGTGCTGGGATTACAGGTGTGAGCCACCGCGTCCGGCCATAGCTAACTTCTTGCAAGGACCATCTTCCCTCACCTTCTCCATTCTCCCTCTCTCCATCTCCCTCACTTTCTTCCCCCCACCCCCAAGACGGAGTCTTGCTCTGTCCCCCAGACTGGAGTGCAATGGCGCGATCTCGGCTCACTGCAACCTCTGCCTCCCGAGTTCAAGCAATTATCCTGCCTCAGCCTCCCAAGTAGCTGGGATTATAGGCGCCACCACCATGCCTGGCTAATTTTTGTATTTTTAGTAGAGGCAGGGTTTCACCCTCTTGGCCAGGCTGGTCTCAAACTCCTGACCTCGTGATCCACCCCCCTCTGCCTCCCAAAGTGCTGGGATTCTAGGCATGAGCCACCGTGCCCGGCCATGTCTCTCACTTTCTCGATCTTCTCCTCACCTCCCTTGAGCACTCGGCATCATGGATGCTGAGGGCCACTCCCAGTTCCTGAGACCACACACGCTCTGCTGTGATCATGCCACTCATGGTTTTCTTTTTTCTCCACCGCTCCTGCCCTACGGCCTTTGCAGGTTCTTCAACTTCCACAACAGTGGCATTCTGCCAGAGCTCAATCCTGGGCCCCTTCTCACTCCCTCGACTAGCTCATCACACGCATGGCTTCCAACTCCACGGCCGTCCACACGCTGAGGGCCCCCGCGTCTCCATTTCCAGTTCTCGCCTCTCCCTCGAGCTCCAGATGCGCATGTCCAGCTGCCTCCTGGACATCTTCCTTTGAATGTAGCAAGGCGGGTCCATTCCTGCGTTCGCTCCCTCCCTGATCAGCACCACAGTCGATCCAGGTGGGCGTGGCTGGAAGCTTGGGGCCCCCCTGACCCCTTCCTCTCCCACCCGCATGGCCAGCCCATGCATGGTCTTGTCACTCTGGCCTCCCGCATATCCCTCATGTCCGTCTGCTTCTTTTCATCCTGGCCACATCCTACTAGCATCCCTTGAGTGGACACTGCCACGGCCTCCTCACTGCCCTCTCTTGTTTTTCTGGTTCTTCTATTCCCATCCTTCTACATTGTAGCCAGAGAAATCTTCATTGTTGTTGTTGTTGTTTGTTTTCTGTTGTTTCTTTGTTTTGAGACAGGTTCTTGCTCTGTTGCCCAGGCTGGAGTGCAATGGTGCCATCTTGGCTCCCTCAGCCTCAACCACCTGGACTCAAGTGATCCTCCTGCCTTAGCCTCCCATGTAGCTGAGACCACAGGCATGCACCACCACATCCAGCTAATTTTTGTTTTTTGTAGAGATGGGGTCTCAGTTTGTTGCCCAGGCCGGTCTTGAACTCCTGGGCTCAAGTGATCCGCCTGTCTTGGCCTCCCAAAGTGCTGGGATGACAAGTATGAGCCACCACATCCGGATTACAAGCATGAGCCACCGTGCCTGGGTGACAAGCATGAGCCACGGCGCCTGGCCTGAGTGATCTGTCTTTTCGGTACACATGCTGCAGCCCCGTCCGCTCTCCAGCTTCATCTCTCACGACTCTCTCCTCACTCCCAGCATCAACACTTCGGTTCTTGGAAAGCACCATTCTCCCTCCTCCCACAGGCCCTTGCACAAGCCAGGCTCCCTGCTCAGAGCTTTCTTCCCCCTCCTTCCCTTGGTCTAGTGAGTTCTGTCTGAACCTCAGATCACAGCTGGAACCTTCCTTCCTCTGGGAAGCCTTCCTGACTACTCTCAGAGAGCCACTCACCACAGGCCTTTCCTGTAAAGCGCCCGTCGCTTCAAAATCATCCAAGCACATGCATGGCAACTTGATTCGTGTCTGTCTCCTGCAGCAGAATGCGAGAACCATGAGAGCAGCGACGGTGATGGTTTGGCTTAGTGTCTAACTCAGAGCCTGGTTACAGAAGGCCCGGGACAAATATTGAAGGATGGATGGATGGATGACAGACAGATGGACATATCAAAAGGAAATGAGACTTTTGCCCATACTAGATTTAGTAACACAGAACCCCAGAGCCACCACCTCCCTTTACCAAATTCTAAACCAGGGCTATTCATGTCAACCCCTGCTGTCGGTGGCTCACACCTGTAATCCCAGCACTTTGGGAGGCCAAGGCAGGCGGATCACGAGGTCAGGAGTTCGAGACCAGCCTGGCCAACATGGTGAAACCCCATCTCTACTAAAAATACAAAAAAATTAGCCGGGCATGGTGACAGGCACCTGTAATCCCAGCTACTTGGGAGCCTGAGGCAGGAGAATCGCTTGAACCTGGGAGGCAGAGGTTGCAGTGAGCCGAGACTGCACCACTGCACTCCAGCCTGGGTAACAGAGAGAGACTCCGTCTCAAAAAAAAAAAAAAAGCTCTCCCTCTCGCTCTCCCTCTCCCTCTCCCTCTCCCTCTCCCCACGGTCTCCCTCTCCCCACGGTCTCCCTCTCCCCACGGTCTCCCTCTCCCTCTGTTTCCACGGTCTCCCTCTCATGCCGAGCCGAAGCTGGACTGTACTGCTGCCATCTCGGCTCACTGCAACCTCCCTGCCTGATTCTCCTGCCTCACCCTGCCGAGTGCCTGCGATTGCAGGCGCGCGCCGCCACGCCTGACTGGTTTTCGTATTTTTTTGGTGGAGACGGGTTTCGCTGTGTTGGCCGGGCTGGTCTCCAGCTCCTAACCGCGAGTGATCCACCAGCCTCGGCCTCCCGAGGTGCCGAGATTGCAGACAGAGTCTGGTTCACTCAGTGCTCAATGGCGCGCAGGCTGGAGTGCAGTGGCGTGATCTCGGCTGGCTACAACCTCCACCTCCCAGCCGCCTGCCTTGGCCTCCCAAAGTGCCGAGATTGCAGCCTCTGCCCGGCCGCTACCCCGTCTGGGAAGTGAGGAGCGTCTCCGCCTGGCCGCCCATCGTCTGGGATGTGAGGAGCCCCTTTGCCTGGCTGCCCAGTCTGGAAAGTGAGGAGCGTCTCTGCCCGGCCGCCATCCCATCTAGGAAGTGAGGAGCGCCTCTTCCCGGCCGCCATCCCACCTAGGAAGTGAGGAGCGTCTCTGCCCGGCCGCCCATCGTCTGAGATGTGGGGAGCACCTCTGCCCCGCCGCCCCATCTGGGATGTGAGGAGCGCCTCGGCCCGGCCGCGACCCTGTCTGGGAGGTGAGGAGCGTCTCTGCCCGGCCGCCCTGTCTGAGAAGTGAGGAGCCCCTCCGCCCGGCTGCCACCCCGTCTGGGAAGTGAGGAGCGTCTCCGCCCGGCAGCCGCCCCGTCCGGGAGGGAGGTGGGGGAGTCAGCCCCCCGCCCGGCCAGCCGCCCCGTCCGGGAGGTGAGGGGCGCCTCTGCCCGGCCGCCCCTACTGGGAAGTGAGGAGCCCCTCTGCCCGGCAGCCACCCCGTCTGGGAGGTGTGCCCAGCGGCTCATTGAGAACGGGCCATGATGACAATGGCGGTTTTGTGGAATAGAAAGGGGGGAAAGGTGGGGAAAAGATTGAGAAATCGGATGGTTGCCGTGTCTGTGTAGAAAGAAGTAGACATGGGAGACTTTTCATTTTGTTCTGTACTAAGAAAAATTCTTCTGCCTTGGGATCCTGTTGATCTGTGACCTTACCCCCAACCCTGTGCTCTCTGAAACATGTGCTGTGTCCAGTCAGGGTTAAATGGATTAAGGGCGGTGCAAGATGTGCTTTGTTAAACAGATGCTTGAAGGCAGCATGCTCGTTAAGAGTCATCACCACTCCCTAATCTCAAGTACCCAGGGACACAAACACTCTGCCTAGGAAAACCAGAGACCTTTATTCACTTGTTTGTCTGCTGACCTTCCCTCCTATTGTCCTATGACCCTGCCAAATCCCCCTCTGCGAGAAACACCCGAGAATGATCAATAAAAAAAAGAAAGTCACCTGGAGAGCTGAAAAGGTTACATACTATGTGATTCCAACAATATGATATTCTGGAAAAGGCAAATCTATGGAGACAGTAAAAAGATCAGTCGTTATCAAAGGGAGAAAGGAGGGGGAGAGATGAATGGGTAAAGGACAGGATTTTTAGGGCAGCAAAACTTTTTTTTTTTTCTGAGACAGAGTCTCGCTCTGTCACCCAGGCTGGAGTACAGTGGTTTGATCTCGGCTCACTGCAACCTCCGCTTCCCGGGTTCAAGTGATTCTCCTGCCTTAAGCCTCTGGAGTAGCTGGGGATACAGGCGCCTATCACCATGCCCAGCTAATATACATATTTTAAGACAGAGTCTTGCTCTCTCGCCCAGGTTGGAGTGCAGTGGGGTGATCTCCGCTCACTGCAAGCTCCGCCTCCTGGGTTCACACCACTCTCCTGCCTCAGCCTCCCGAGTAGCTGGGACTACAGGCGCCCGCCACCACGCCCAACTAATTTTTTGGTTTTTTTAGTAGAGATGGGGTTTCACTGTGTTAGCCAGGATGGTCTTGATCTCCTGACCTCGTGATCCACCCGCCTCGGCCTCCCAAAGTGCTGGAATTACAGGCGTGAGCCACCGCGCCCAGCCAATTTTTATATTTTTAGTAGAGACAAGGTTTCACCATATTGGCCAGGCTGGTCTCCAACTTGTGACTTTGTGATCTGCCCACCTCGGCCTCCCAAAGTGCTGGGATTACAGGTGTGAGCCACCGCGCCCGGCCATAGCAAAACTATTCTATGTGACACTGTAATGGTGAATACATGTCATTATACATTTGTTAAAAACTATAGAATAATACAACTCAGTGAGTCCTAATGTAATCCGTGGACTTTAGTTAATAATAATGTATCAATATTGGTTCATAAATTGAAGCAAATGTACCCCAATGCAAGATGTTAATAATAAGAGAAATTGGGGGGCGGGAGGTGGAGGTTGAGAGGATATATGGGAACTGTCTGTCTCTCTCTCTCTTCCTTCCTTCCTTCTTTTTTTCACAGGGTCTCACTCTGTCACCCAGGCTGGAGTACAATGGCGTGATCTTGGCTCACTGCAACCTCCGCCTCCTGGGTTCAAGCGATTCTCCTGCCTCAGCCTCCTGAGTAGCTGGGATTACAGGTGCCCGCCACCATGCCCCGCTAATTTTTGTATTTTTAGTAGAGACGGGGTTTCACCGTGTTAGCCAGGATGGTCTCGATCTCCTGACCTCGAGTGATCCGTCTGCCTCGGCCTCCCAACGTGCTGGGATTCCAGGCATGAGCCACCACTCTGGCCCTGTCAGTATCTTCTGCTCAATTTTTCTAAAAACCTAAAACTGCTAAAATAATTTTTTTTTTTTTTTGAGATGGAGTCTCACTCTGTCGCCCAGGCTGGAGTGCAGTGGCGCAATCTCGGCTCACTGCAAGCTCCGCCTCCCGGGTTCAAGCCATTCTCCTGCCTCAGCCTTCCCAGTAACTGGGACTACAGGCGCCTGCCACCACGCCCAGCTAATTTTTTGTATTTTTAGTAGAGACGGGGTTTCACCGTGTTAGCCAGGATGGTCTCGATTTCCTGACCTTGTGATCCACCCGCGTCAGCCTCCCAAAGTGCTGGGATTACAGGCGTGAGCCACCACACCCGGCCTAAAATAATTTTTTAAATATAAAATATATATTTTAAAAAATCCTGACACCCAGACGGCATCCTTGACCATTTGAACCAGAATCTCTGAAGGTCGACCCAGGCATGAGGATTTTTTAAAAGCTCCCCAGGAGATTCTAGAACTACCCCTTCGAACTGAATGGGGCTGGGGTGGAGGGAGCAGACAGACTGCAGTGGGGAGCCCTTTCTCAGCTTTGGGGTGGGTTTCCGAGGGAGGTAGATGGATATTGGCACAGATTGCCTTAAAGGAGCGGGAGCGCCTGAGGGCATGGAGAATCTCGTCCTTGTGAAAGCTCCAGTGCCTTAGGCACGGTCCCTCTTGGACTCTGGTGGGGACCGAGTGAGAAGTTTGGCCGGTGCCCTCCTGTGCTGTAATTCTGTATCAATCTGGTGACCATTTCAATGAACCCACCTCTGGATTTTTCCAGCTGCTGAACAGGCCTTGGAGGGCGGGGTCAAGCTTGACAAGCAGGGGCAGGGATTGAGGGGAGGCAGTGTCCCGCCGGAATGGCTGGGCCTGAAGAGGAATGGGAGCAAGGTGAGAGGGTGGGACATGAGTGGGGAGGGCATCCAGAGAGGCTGACGGGGCCTTGAGCACCAGGCTGAGCACCGTGGGGACCATGGCAGGGTTCTGAGAGGGGCATGGTCAGGTGGGTGCTCAGAAAGATCACTCGGGCAGCCAGGGAGGGCATGGACCAGAGGGCCAAGGACCAAGGCTAGAAGACCAGTGAGGAGGTGAGAGATGGCGAGGCTGCATTTGAGGGGCTCCAGTGGTGGGGAGGAAATGAGAACAAGATGGGCTTATTGGTCTTGGTGTCTGGGGAGCTTCAGCCTGACCACCAGCACCCCTCCTGGAGAGGGCATGGTACAGCCCCTCACGGGAGCTTTGTGGGACCACCAGGAAGCAGGCAGGAGCAGCTCTGGTCTGTTTCTCAGATGGAAAACCTGATCACCCCACTGGGCAGCCTATAGCCTGGTCTCCCTCCTGGTCTTCAGCAGCTCTGATGGACCCAGAGGGCAGCTTCACCCAGAGGGAAGCTCCACAGCTGGGCAAATACCAGTCACGTAGGACGTGCTGAGACCGTGACCCCCAAGGCTGGGTCCGGCAGCCCCGAGGCAGAGAGGCCTTTCCTTTTAAGGGTGTCATTTGCTGAGAATTTACCACGTGCTGAGCTCTGTACCAGGCGCTTGGCACAAGGACTTCATTTACCGTCACAAGAACCCTGCAGTACTGTGAAACATATTTGGTTTCGAGCCCATTTCCTGGCATGCAACTCCTGAAATCCTGAGGATCTCCAAAGGGATAGCTTTTTCCCTTTTTTTTTTTTTTGAGACAGAGTCTCACTCTTTCGCCTAGGCCGAAGTGCAGTGGCACGATCTCGGCTCACTGCAAGCTCCGCCTCCCGGGTTCACGCCATTCTCCTGCCTCAGCCTCCCGAGTAGCTGGGACTACGGGCGCCCGCCACCGTGCCTGGCTAATTTTTTGTATTTTTAGTAGAGACGGGGTTTCACCGTGTTAGCCAGGATGGTCTCGATCTCCTGACCTCGTGATCCACCCCGCCTCGGCCTCCCAAAGTGCTGGGATTACAGGCGTGAGCCACCGCACCAGGCCAGGGATAGCTTTTTCTTTGCTAACGAATTGACTGGTGGCTGGCAGCCCCTAGGTGGCTTCAGGATGGGGTCTGGTCACCAGAAAGACCCAGGCAGGATTAGAGGGTTGGGACTGTCAGGCCCATCCCCTACCTCTGGGGAGGAGAGAGAGGCTGAAGGTTAAGGTGATCACCAATGGCTAATGATTTAATCAATCATACCTAGGTATTGAAACCTCCACAAAAACCCCAAAAGGACAAGGTTTGAGGAGCTTCCGGAGAGCTGAACACATGGAGGTCCCTGGAGGGTGGCATCCTGGGGGGACATGGAAGCTCTCCACCCCTCCCCCGTCCTTTGCCCTGTGCATCTCCCCTCATCTGTATCCTTTGCCAAATCCTTTATAATAAACCGGTAAACGTGTTTCCATGAGTTCTGTGAGCCGCTCCAGCAAATTAATCAAACCCAAAGAGAGGGTTGTGGGAACCCCAACTTGAAGCCGGTGGGACAGAAACTCCAGAGGCTGGGACTCATGACTGGTGTCTGACTGAGGGACTGTCTTGTAGGCTTGTGTCCTCAACCTGTGGGATCCGATACTGTTTCCAAGCAGACAGTGTCGGAATTGAGTTAGAAGACACCTGGCTGGGGTCTGCTGCAGAAGGGATATGGGGGTGGGGGGGACTCCACATGGTTGGTCACAGAAGTCTTTTTTTTTTTTTTTTTGAGACGGAGTCTTGCTCTGTCGCCCAGGCTGGAGTGCAGTGGCGCAATCTCAGCTCACTGCAACCTCCACCTCCCGGGTTCACGCCATTCTCCTGCCTCGGTCTCCTGAGTAGCTGGGACCACAGGTGCCCGGCTAATTTTTTGTATTTTTAGTAGAGACGGGGTTTCACCGTGTCAGCCAGGATGGTCTCGATCTCCTGACCTCATGATCCGCCTTCCTCAGCCTCCCAAAGTGCTGGGATTACAGGCGTGAGCCACCGCGCCCAGCCGGTCACAGAAGTCTTCTGTGTTCACTGTTGTAGTGTGAGAGCAGACGAAAACGTTTGCATTGTTTGCATTCAAACCCCATGGGAGGTGGGCGCGGTGGCTCACGCCTGTAATCCCAGCACTTTGGGAGGCCGAGGTGGGCAGATCACCTGAGGTCAGGAGTTCAAGACCAGCCTGGCCAACATGGTGAAACCCCGTCTCTACTAAAAGTACAAAAAATTAGCTGGGGCATGGTGGCGGGCACCTGTAGTCCCAGCTACTTGGGAGGCTGAGGCAGGAGAATCGCTTGAACCCAGGAGGAAGAGGTTGCAGTGAGCCGAGATCTTGCCATTGCACTCCAGCCTGGGTGACAGAGCAAGTCTCAAAAAATCTCAAACAAACAAACAAAACACCCCACGGGAACATTCCCATTAAATCAATAAGGGAACTGAGGCTCCTCCAATGACCTGCCAAAGGTCACACAATTTTTAAGTAGCAAAGCTTGGATTCAAGCTCAGGGCTGTGTGACCTTAAGGATGACTCTTTTCGTCGCTGCCCTGGAGGGCTGTACCATGGGAACAGAGGTGTGGGGTCCCAAAAGTCTGTACCAGTGTCCAAGGCTAAGCGGGGATGGGAGGTCACTGGGCTGGTGTCACAGGCACTCCTGTGACACCACAGGGACCTCTGCCCCAAAAGCAGCAGCTATGGCTCCTACCCGGACCAGACCTTGGCATCCTGAGCCCCTGTGAAACAGGCAGTTCTTCCCAAGGAGTGGCCACGGACCCGCCCAGGAGCCTCAGCTGTACCCTGGACTGCAGCCCGGTCACCTCCTGAGCCAGCCCTTCCCTCTCCCTCCCTCCGCCAAGACCACTTCTCACCACTGTCCTGCTCAGGGACTTAGGGTGCCTCAGACGCTTCCAGAAAATTCAACAAAGCCAGCTGTTCCAGCTGCTGAGAAAGAACGTATATCCAGATGCAGAAAATGTACGCACAAACCTTTTTTTTTTCTTTTTAACTCAAGAAAGGGCTTTTATTGTTTTTAACTCACTTCCTGGGAAGTTAATTTTTAAAACACTCTTATAGAGTTTGCTCATCGCTTGTGCTACATTCAAAAACAACGATGCCAACCAAAACCCTCAGTGACAGGGTGAGCATCCCACCTGGGCCTACCCCTGAGCTTTCCAAGGGTGGGTCCGATCAAAGTGGTCCCCCCAGACCAGATGCTCAAGAAACACTTGGGGATCAGTGATTGGCTCTTAACTTGCCTTCCACTAACTCTATAAAAGTGTTCTTAAAAACAGTACCGAGTAACTTTTTAAGCTTCGGGCCACACTGCCTTAGCCCAGAGGAGCCGGGGAGAAACGTGGACCCACTGACAATGGGGCACATTCGGCTCCTAGCCTTAAATAGACGTAGAAACTGTATTACAGATGCATGTACCAGTGCAGGACATACGAGTGAGCTGTGTGCAACAGATGAGCACGCGACATGCACCCACAGGCGCGGAGATGCAGCGGGATCCGGGTTTCTCCCCCAGCCAGCCTCCCTTCTCCAAACAAGCCCTCCTCCAACAGGACACCCACACCTGTGGCCAAAAGCCCTTGTCCATCCATGTTTCCAGGGCAGTGTCCGAGTCCTGCGTGACCCTGTGGGGGTCAACCTCTATGAGCATTCGGTCAGCAAATGCCACGTCGGCCAGCCGGACACTGATCCCAGAGAGAAGGTGAAGGCTGCTCCGGAAGAGCTGTGTCTGCACGCGCTCCAGCACCCCCGCTCTGAGCAGGCTGACTGCTGATGTCCTCAGGGTGAGGCAATTGCCGCAGAGGCCACCTGCCAGCGTGCACACCCCTCCAGGTTCTGTGTCTCGTGATCCCTCCGACCTGGACAGTTTGTCCTTCGTTGTAGGAGTGTGAGTGCAGCTCTTGGGCCCAGATGGGTAGGCCGGTGTAGGAGGAGAGGCTGGGTTCCAGTTATTTCAGCATGCGCAGGGCCACAGGCCTGTCGCGTCCATGGCCCTCGGTCAAAGTCAGCCCTGGTGTCTTCTCCAGCCTCAGCTCTAGGGGCATCATCAAGGGAGAGAGTGAGATGGGCAGGGACGATGTGGTGCTTCCGCTTCAGGCCTCTGCTCAGAGCTTGATTCCGTTCAGTCCACTTTCCAGATAACGCCGAATGCGAAACACAGTCCAGGAAAGTTAGTTCCATCCACTTGGCTGCCAAATAATCTTGGGCTGTGCTGGGAACCACGGAAGATGTAGGAAAGCTCGTGAGATGTTCCCAAGCAGGGCCTCTCCCCGAACCCCCAGGTTAAAAACAAAAGTAAAAGACAACAAAAAAGGAATCAGAATTCTCCAACACTGGCCCTGTCCCCAGTGAGGGGTCCGAGCCCCCATACCAGCGTCTGAATAGACAAGAGCTCTGGTGCCACCACCCCAAGGTGGGCAGGGTACCCCCCTCTCCACCATATGCCTGTGGCAGCTGAGCCAGGCCTGCCCGGCCCCAGCGGGAGGTCTCTTCCGTTGTGGTAAGCCTGGCCTCCACCTGCCATCTTGGTCTCCTGCCTCTGCCTCCTGCCCCAGGCCATGCCAACCAGCCGGGTGGCATTTCTGAGGCTCCATGGGCACCCGGTTTCCCCACAGAATGGGTCAGGCCAAGGAGGTCCAAGAAGAGGAGGATGGCCTCGTGGGAGCCCTGCCCCCAAGACCCCAAATGACATACATTCCAGTCTGTCCCTGGACGTGCGTGCGTGGAGGTCATGCAGCACGATGGGGGAGGGGCGGGAGTGGGGCTGCAGTCCCCAGCCCCCTGCCTGCGGGGGCGGCTGTTGCATGAGGGGTGGGCCTCTGGAGGCGCGGGATGAGTGTGCTGCCGGGTGGCCCTGGGTGCATGCAGGGGCTCAGGATGCAGCCTCGTCTTCCTGGACGCCGGGGAGCTCTGGGCTCTTGCCCCCTTCACCAAACCCTTCTTTCCTGTTCAGGGGACACCAGGGACAGAGGGACCTCAGGGTCAGAATATGCACTCAGGGAGACACTCTCCCTCACACACACAGGAATCTGAATCCCACATCTCTCAAAGCCCCCTTCACCCACTGCCCCAAGCTTGGCCTCCCTCTGGCCTCCCTACATCACGGCAGTTGCTCCTTGCCGGTCTCTCAGCCCCCAGTCTCAGCCCGCAACGCCTCCGTGGCCCCCCATTGACCAGAGATGAAGTCTAAACCTCCCAGCACGGCCTCTGGAGCTGCTCACAGTCTGACCCAGCTGACTTCCCTACATCCTCCAACTATCAGCCTAATCAAGGGCCTTCTCTCTGTGTGTGTGGTTTTGTTGTTGTTTTGAGACAGCGTCTCGCTCTGTCGTGCAGGCTGCAGTGCAGTGGTGCAATCTCAGCTCATTGCAACCTCTGCCTTCCAGGCTCAAGCGATCCTCCCACCTCAGCCTCCTGAGTAGCTGAGACTACAGGCACATGCCACCACGCCCAGCTAATTTTTGTATTTTTTTATCTCTATAAAAACAGGGTTTCACCATGTTGCCCAGGCTGGTCTCAAACTCCTGGGCTCAAGCGATCCATCCACCTCAGCCTCCTAAAGTGTTGGGATTGCAGGCGTGAGCCACCGTGCCCGGCCTGAGGGCCTTCTGTGTTGACCTCAGTCATCCCCCAGCAGATCTGGGTAGAGAGGCTTTCATTTTGCATTTTTCTTTGCCTTGTTCACAGGGCAGAGTCCATCTATCAGTCTTGGGATTCTGTCACATATTCAACAGATTTCTATATCTAGTTTTCCTCCCAAAATGTCTCTTTTTAAAATAACCAGTAAATGGGTTTTGATATCTTTAAAAAGGACCAACTCCACTTAACTCTACTACTGAGTTTCTACAATTATCCCAAAGTATAAAAAACTCTATGGCCGGGCACAGTGGCTCACGCCTGTAATCCCAGCACTTTGGGAGGCTGAGGTGGGCAGATTACCTGAGGTCAGGAGTTTGAGACCAGCCTGGCCAAAATGGTGAAATCCCGTCTCTAATAAAAATACAAAAATTAGCCGGTGTGGTGGTGGCATGCACCTGTAATCCCAGCTACTTGGGAGGCTGAGGCAAGAGAACTGCTTGAATGTGAGAGGCGGAGACTGCAGTGAGTTGAGTTTGCGCCACTGCACTCCAGCCTGGGCAACAAGAGTGAAACTCCATCTCAAAACAAACAAACAAAAAACCAAAGCAGTCTATCAAGGATAAATATTGGGACTTGATGATGAAGTAAAATCTTCTTTCAAAGTTAAACGTGGAGGCTGGGTGTGGTGGCTCATGCCTGTAATCACCTGGCACTTTCGGAGGCCAAGGTGGGCAAATGGCTTGAGGCCAGGAGTTTAAGTCCAGCCTGGGCAACATGGCAAGACTCCATCTCTATTTTTTTTTTAAAAAGCTCTACCCCAAATTAAACTTGGGTCACAGAATTCTAGAATTTTATAGCTGGAAAGTATTAAGCCCAATCTTGTCACTCTGTTTGCCAGGTACAAACTAGACACTAAATGTATCCTTATCCTGTGTCTGGCTTGTTCCACCACTAGGGGGTGCTGGACCACAGGCTCTGAGTCAGAAGGACCAGGTGTCCGTCCACCTGCTGTCCTGGCATAATTATTATTACTTTTTTTTCTTTTTTTTTTTTGAGACAGGGTCTGGCTCTGTCACCCAGGCTGGAGTACAGTGGTGCAATCTCAGCTCACTGCAACCTCCACCTCCCAGACTCAAGCAATCCTCCCACCTCAGCCTCCTGAGTTGCTGGGACTACAGGCACCCACCACCACGCCCGGCTAATTTTTTTTTTTTTTAGAGATGGGGTCTTGCTATGTTGCCCAGGCTGGTCTTGAACTCCTGGCCTCAAGCAATCCTGCCTTGGCCTCCCAAAGTGCTGGGATTATAGGCATGAGCCACCATGCTGGCATAATAATTATTATTTTTTGAGACGGAGTCTCACTCTGTCGCCCAGGCTGGAGTGCAGTGGCGTGACCTTGGCTCACTGCAAGCTCTGCCTCCCGGGTTCACGCCATTCTCCTGCCTCAGCCTCCTGAGTAGCTGGGACTCCAGGTGCCCGCCACCACGCCCAGCTGATTTTTTGTATTTTTAGTAGAGACGGGGTTTCACCGTGTTAGCCAGGATGGTCTCGATCTCCTGACCCTGTGATCCACCCGCCTCGGCCTCCCAAAGTGCTGGGATTACAGGCGTGAGCCACCGCACCCGGCCGTGCTGGCATAATTATTAATGGCTTCCCCTTTCACTCTCAAAAATGTCCCCATTTGGACGTCAAATTATATATGCCCCCTCTCCCCCTACACTAAGCACAATTCCAGCATCAGGGGCCTACATTCCTGGATGAGCTCAGAGAATCCTCCCCCAACCGCAACCACCTCCCTGAAGAGATGACAGAAAAGCTGCAGTTGGGACCTCCAGGCCTCTCCCAGGCCCCCCACCTCATTATGAGGCTCTCCCTGGGTGCAAGCCACCTCCAGCAGGGAGCAGATGTCAGCTTGTCCACTACGAGGGGTCCCGACCCTTCTGAAGGGCCCTCTTATGAGAGGGAGGCCTCACGGGAAACCAACATGGTGGTCCCGGACAGGCCTGGTGACAGCGTGAAGCCAAGGCACCCGGACAGCGCCTGGCACTCACCCCTCTGGGGAGTGCGCCTTCCACACAGAGCAGGCCAGGGTGGGGCAAACAACTCCCACCAGCCCCTTCCCCAAAGCTTCCCTCCGGGGCCAGAGGAAGGCAGTGGCTGTCCCAGGACCACGCTGTGGTTCAGGACCCCACTGGTTTTCTCTCTGCAGGTTTGTGTACAAACTCCAGCACAGGCCTTATTAGCATCCCAGACTGGCTTTTATTATAGTGAAGAAGGTGGATCTGCTGAGGACGAGGCGCACAGGCTTGGGGAGCTGCTTTTCTGGACCCTCCTAGGAGGTGGTGAACCCACAGGCGTGGCTCACCATAGGGAGCCCTCGGCCAATGCGGGTTCCTCTCCCGTGGTCCACCGGCCAGCCTGTCCCTGCTTACTCACTGAACAAGCACTCACAAAGTGCTGACTGGGCACAGAGCCCCAGCAATGGCTGCAGGCAGCCTGGGCCACTTGGGAGAGCAGCCAACAGTCCCCAGGGCCAGGCAGAGGGGCCAGCACCCCTCCTCTACAGCCCGCCAGCCTCCTACAGGAAGCCAACATCAGCCTGTCTGCAAACCTCTGCCAGGCTGCCAAGGGCTGAGGGGGCCACAGATTTGAAGCCCCAGAGGGGCTGGACCCAGTGAGAGAGTGACATCAAGCTGCATGGAAGAAGGGTCTTCCTGTCCCATGGAGGGGCTGCGTGAGCTCCTCATCCCTGGAAGTGTGTGTGTGAGGGATGCTGGCCCCAGGAATGAAGCAAGAGCTGGGCCCAAAAGGTCCCTTCTAGCCCCGACTAACCTTGGGGACAGAGATGCAAATGGGGCCAACACCGAGACCTGGCCAAGTCCCCAGGCTCTGGCCTTGGCCCAACGACAGTGAGAGTGGGAGGATGGGCCTCAGACCTCCCCACCCAACTCCAGGGAGTGCCCGGCAGTCCCTGGCCCACCAGTACTTACACCAGTAGGTTTCCTGGAGCAGACATGGATCGCTCTTCCCTCCGTGCTTGGGGCTCAAACGGGTTCCCAAAGGAACGCTTCCTCAGCATGGACTTCACCAGGATCTGAGGAGGACAAGGCAGCGTGAGGAGCACAGGTCCCAGGCTCCCAGACACGCAGCCTCTGCTCCGATTCCCCGAGAGCAGCTGCCAAGGGGGCCGCAGTGCGGGTCCCATCTCAATCAGCACAGCATGAAATGGCAGAGGCAAGAACACGGGGCGCTGGCAGCTGGGGGCATATTCCTGGAATGGTGAGGAGCCGGATGCCACTGGTACATGAGGAGGGGGCCGGGACCAGCCCATGAAGGGTCCGCAAGGCCAGGCTGAAAGAGTGGGGAGGGCCAGGGCTGGAAGTGGGAGTCCATTAGAAGATACCTTCTCGCTACGGCAGCAATGCCATGGAGGGATGCTGTGCCATCCTTCCCGCCTTCCGGCCGCCGAGAAGATGCCAAGATGCTACTGCAGGGCGGCCCGGGAAGCGGCTGAGCCGCAGCCGGTGGCCCAGTCAGTGGGGCTGCCAGGAGGGGAACAGCTGCCGCAGCCTGGCTCTCTGCCTTTGTCCCTCCTCCGTGACAAGGACGGTTCCATGCCGTGCCCACAGACACGCCGACTCACACGCATGCAGAGAGGCAGCGGCACACTTGCCAGTCCCTTCACTCCCTCGCTTGTGTCCATCCATCCCGTCAACACTGGTCACCACTGGCTGCCTACTGGGTGCTGGCCACTACTCTAGGCCCTGGGGCCACACTGAGGCCAGAATTCCTGCCCTCATATAGCCTTTTTTTTTTTTCAGACGGAGTTTTGCTCTTGTTGCCCAGGGCTGGAGTGCAGTGGCACAATCTCGGCTCACTGCAACCTCTGCCTCCCCGCTTCAAATGATCCTTCCGCCTCAGTCTCCTGAATAGCTGGGATTACAGGCGTCCACCACCACACCCGGCTAATTTTTTGTATTTTTAGAAGAGACGGGGCTTCAGCATGTTGGCCAGGCTGGTCTCAAACTCCTGACCTCAAGTGATCCTCCCGCCTTGGCCTCCCAAAGTGCTGGGATTACAGGCGTGAGCCACTGCGCCCAGCCATCATACAGCTTATATTCTAGTTGGGGGAGACAGGCGATAAGTAAAGAAGAAAAATCAGTAAATTATGTATGTCAGTAAGTGGAAAGGAAAAAATAAAACAAGGGAATGGCGATGAGGTGTGAAGCAGGGGAGGCTGAAGCTACAGGGTCAGGGAAGGCTCGCTTCTCTCTAGGAGGGGACCCTGGCGTAAAAAGCCGAAGGAAGTGAGGGAGCGAGTCCCGTGGCCATCGGGGGTGGGACTCCCCGGGCAGAGGGAAGCGAAGTCTGAAGGCTCTGGGGCAGCCCCTTCCATGGCACGTGGCCAGAGACGAGTGCATGATGGCGGGACGGTGCACGAGCCCCGCAGAAAAACAGGGCGGGTGGTGGGGCACAGGCTGGAGGTCTGATTCTGAGGGACACAGCAGCCCGAGTGAGAAGCAGGCTCTGAGCTGGGAGGTGACACACTCATGCCACTGGGACCATGCTGGGTGCTGAGTTGAGCATTGACCAGGGGGACAGGGAGTGAGAGTAGAAGCAAGGGACAGCGTGGGAGGTTGTTCCAGTGGTCTGAGAGAGAGGAGATGGTGGCTAAGATCAGGCAAGTGGTCATGGGGACCCCGTGGGAGTTGCCTGGTTCCAGCGACCCCACAGAGTCAAGTAAGCATAGGGGGCAGGGATTGAGCCAGCTGGTCCCAGCTGGGCCGGGACCCTGCAGAGGGGGATAAAGTGCAAGGCCAGGCCCCGCCAACGGCAGTGGCCCTGGCTCTCCTCCTGGCCTTGTGCTTGCCCTGACTCACTTGACTGTCAGGCAGGGGCAGGGCAGGGCTCTCAGTGGCCCCAGGTGGCCACGGGGGACTATGTGAATCACTTCCAAGTGCCAACACAGAAGCTGAGCAGAGGAAGAGGAGCAAAACCGAAATGTGAGCGGGCACTAGGGGAGACACAGGCACTGTCTAATGGATACGCAGGATCTGGGGGAGATGCAGGCACCGTCTAACTGATACGCGGGCTCTGGGGGAGAAGCAGGCGCCGTCTAACTGATACACAGGATCTGGGGGAGAAGCAGGCGCAGTCTAACTGATACGTGGGCTCTGGGGGAGAAGCAGGCGCCGTCTAACTGATACGTGGGCTCTGGGGGAGAAGCAGGCGCCGTCTAACTGATACGTGGGCTCTGGGGGAGAAGCAGGCGCCGTCTAACTGATACGTGGGCTCTGGGGGAGAAGCAGGCGCCGTCTAACTGATACGTGGGCTCTGGGGGAGAAGCAGGCGCCGTCTAACTGATACGTGGGCACGGGGGAGATGCAGGCACCGTCTAACTGATACACAGGATCTGGGGGAGACGCAGGCACTGCCTGATTGATACGCGGGCGCTGGGGGAGACGCAGGCCCATCTAACTGATATGTGGGCTCTGGGGGAGACACAGGTGCTGCCTAACTGATACGTGGGCTCTGGGGGAGACGCAGGCGCCGCCTAACTGATACGTGGGCTTTGGGGCCACTCCTCCAATCCAAAGGCTGCCCAGGCCGTTCCCCTGCCTTGTCCTCGGCACCTTGTGCAGTGCCTGGAGAACGGAAGCTCAGTAACTGTCTGGACGGAATGAAATGCTTCTTCCAGTCACGGTGACTGCTGCCGCTGAGCAAGGGCCATCTATTTCTTTCTTTTTTTTTTTGAGATGGAGTCTCGTTCTGTCAACCAGGCTGGAGTGCAATGGCGTGATCTTGGCTCACTACAACCTCCACCTCCCAGGTTCAAGCGATTCTCCTGCCTCGGCCTCCCCAGTAGCTGGGACTACAGGTGCCCACCACTGCGCCCGGCTAATTTTTTTGTATTTTTAGTAGAGGTGGGGTTTCGCCGTATTAGCCAGGATGGTCTCGATCTCCTGACCTCGTGATCCACCCGCCTCGGCCTCCCAAAGTGCTGGGATTCCAGGCGTGAGCCACCGCGCCCGGTATTTCTTTCTTTTCTTTTCTTCTTTTTTTTTTTTTGAGACGCAGTCTCGCTCTGTGGCCCAGGCTGGAGTGCAGTGGCGCGATCTCGGCTCACGGCAAACTCCACCTCCCGGGTTCACACCATTCTCCTGCCTCAGCCTCCCGAGTAGCTGGGACTACACGCGCCCGCCACCACGCCCAGCTAATTTTCTATATTTTTAGTAGAGTCGGGGTTTCAAGGATGGTCTCGATCTCCTGACCTCGTGATCTGCCCGCCTTGGCCTCCCAAAGTGCTGGGATTACAGGCGTGAGCCACCGCGCCCGGCCCCACGCCCGCTATTTCTTTAAATCAGTCACTCTCCTCACCAAGCCTCCTGGTCTCCCGACCACAAGACCTCCCTCTCCATGGGCCTCCAGCAGAATGGCGGCTCCAGTGGCCCAGGATCACAGCTGGCTGGCCAGGCAGGCCTCTGTCCCCCCAAGGAGCCAGGCACAGAGCAAGGCTCAGGTCCCCCAGGCCCTCCAGGACAAGGGAGCATCTACCCCGGCTCTCTTACCACCGTGGTCCAGCTGGGGATGAGCCTGACTGAGTTCTTAACCTCCTCCTCTGTCACCTCCACCACGCTGCAGTGCTCCTCCTCCGAAGGAAGGGGCTCCTCCCCGTTCTTGGTCACCCAAGGGTGCAACTGTCGGGGCCGGGAGGGCAGGGAGAGGGGGAGAGGTCAGGCCATTACCAGAATCACCTGGAGGGGTCCAAAGTCCACAGACTCAAACCCAACACACATGCATCCTGGTGTTGATCCCTCCAGAAAGGGAAAGTGACTCCTGTTTTCTGTGTCCCAGCCCAGCCCAAGACCCCCAGTTCCCCGACCTTGATGTCTGGCACCCCAATTCTCGTCTCGGGATTCTTGTCTAACATCTTCAGGATCAGGTCCTTGAGCTCCTCGCTGATTTCTGGCCTGGAGAGGGCGAAGGAAGGAGAGGAGGGTGGGACCGCTGATGAGGACCCCTTCCTGTCCACCTCTCTTCCCGAAACCTTCGTCCCTCGGATGGGAAGACTGAGTTCCGGACAGCAGGCAGGAATTTCACAACAAGGGCTTGGAGAGCCTTTCCTGAGCAGGAGGTCAAGTCTCCCTCCAGGACAGAGGCACAGACAGAGTTCCATGGGTGCTGGACACCCCAATGGGTGGCAAAGATGGTGAGGAGAGTCGCTTTATGGGACACCAGAGGCCTTCAGACCCACTCACCACCTCGTCCTTTTCTACACCCAGAGAAGATCCTCTCTCATTTGACAGAGGAGGAAACTGAGGCCCAGGGAGGTTAGCAGGCTGGCACAGTGCCAGCCAGAAGAGTGCAGGCAGAGATGGGAGACTCAGATGGGAGGGAGCAGCCCCCTCAGCGCCACATCAGCTCCAACTCTCTCTGCCCAAACCCCAGGGTTCTTTTTTTTTTTTGAGATGGAGTCTCGCTCTGTGGCCCAGGCTGGAGTGCAGTGGCGCAATCTCGGCTCACTGCAAGCTCCGCCTCCCAGGTTCATGCCATTCTCCTGCCTCAGCCTCCCGAGTAGCTGGGACTACAGGTGCCCGCCACCGTGCCCGGCTAATTTTTTGTATTTTTAGTAGAGACGGGGTTTCACCGTGTTAGCCAGGATGATCTCGATCTCCTGATCTCATGATCCGCCTGCCTTGGCCTCCCAAAGTGCTGGGATTACAGGCGTGAGCCACCACGCCCGGCCAAACCCCAGGTTTCTTTGCCACCAGTGGTCTTGGGGAGCCCATCCTTCCAAGACTAGGGAGCAGAAAGCCACTCTCAGGACTGTTGACTTCGGTTCCCCCTGTTGTCTTAGATGCTTCATCCCTTTTAAAATTCCTGGGCTGAGGGGAAAGACACCCCTCAGCAGGGGGTATAGCAGGAAGAGAGGCACCAGGGGTACAACTGTGGAGGCAGGGAGGGAAGGCAACCACAGGATGAGGAGGAAATGGACAGAAGCCAGCTGGCTGGTGCTCGGGAAAGGGAGTGAGGCGGCCCCAGACGAGCGGGTGGCAGAACCCGGAGACGTGTGAATGCTAGCGCCAGGGTGTGGCTTTGAGAAGCTTCAGACAAACTTCAGGCAAGAGATGCAGGCAGATTTGTTGTGCTTTATCAGGGCTGTCCCCGCCTGAATGTGTTGGCTGGACTGGAGGGAGGCCAGCAGCAGCGAGACCAGGGGGAAGGTGGCTAGATAAGTCTGGGGAGGGGCCTGAGGCCTGAATGAGGCAAGGGGTATAAGTGGCAACAAGGCCCAGAGACAGGGAAGAGGAGGGCTCAGCAGGGCTTGGGGACCACACAGGAAATAAGCAGAAGAGAGCAGGAGTCGCTGAGTACAAGTCCCGTTTCATTTTCTTTTTTTGTTTGTTGTTTTTTGTTTTTTTTTTTTTGTTTTTTTTTTTTTTTTTTTTTTTTTGAGACAGAGTCTCGCTCTGTCGCCCAGGCTGGAGTGCAGTAGCACGGTCTCAGCTCACTGAAACCTCTGCCTCCCGGGTTCACGCCGTTCTCCTGCCTCAGCCTCTCGAGTAGCTGGGACTACAGGCACCCGCCACCACGCCCGGCTAATTTTTTTTCTATTTTTAGTAGAGATGGGGTTTCACCGTGTTAGCCAGGATGGTCTCGATCTCCTGACCTCGTGATCCGCCCTCCTTGGCCTCCCAAAGTGCTGGAATTACAGGTGTGAGCCGCCGCACCCGGCCTTATTCAGTTTCTTTCTTCTGTTTTTTTTTTTTGAGACAGAGTCTTGCTCTGTCGCCCAGGCTCACTGCAACCTCTGCCTCCTGGGTTCAAGCAATTCTCGTGCTTCAGCCTCCCGAGTAGCTGGGACTACAGATGTGCGCCACCACGCCTGGCTAATTTTTGTATTTTTAGTAGAGATGGGGTTTCACCATGTTGGCCAGGCTGGTCTCTAACTCCTAACCTCAGGTGATCTGCCCACCTCAGCCTCCCAAAGTGCTGGGATTACAGGCGTGAGCCACCGCACCCGGCCTCCATTTCACTCCTGAAATCCACTGCTGAAAAGAGGAGCCTGGGAGCTCAGGCTGTGGCTGCCACGGTGGCCGTCATGAGGCGAACCATGCATGAGCAAGAGGCCTCCCCGACGTCCCTGCTACGCTCAGAGACCTCGGTCACAATGGGAAGAGTGGGGAGGAAGAGTGGCTTGAGTCCCAGCCCCCTGACCGCTCTCCTCCAGAGCATCCTCTTTTCCATCTGTGAAATGGGGAGCACGCACTGGCATCTTGAAGTTCCCTGACCCTGAGTGGGGGAAGGAGAAGTTCCCCTTGAGTCCAGGGGCTGGGTGGGGCTGGCGCCACTGACCCCAGGCAGGCCTGCGGTGAAGGAGTGGTGTGAATGATGCCTGTGGTCATCCCTGGCCAACCCTGGATCTCAGGGTTCCCATCCACACAGTGACGTTGCGGAGACCCTTGGCTCCAGAGTCCCTCCCGTCCATCTATTCAGGGGTCCCTCCCAGGGAACAGCACCGCCACCTTCATATCTGCAGGCTGGGGTGGGGTCCTCAGAGGGCAAAAGCTCTGCTAAAACTCAGACACCAGGAGCGGGTGGTAGCCCCCTTGTTCCCCTGGGTGGACAACTCACTCCTCAGGAAACACCACGGGCTCATTCTTGATCTTCCTGTGGAGGGCCAGGATGAAATCGTCGATGAATGGGCACTGTGGGGTGGAGAGGCAGACAAAGGATGTGGGTCCAGGGCCTCGACCTGTGCCAGGGGATCAACCCCCCTCCCTTGGTGGGGGCAGGGGTAGGGGGCAGGTCTGGGCTCCCATTACATGAGAAGGACCTCAACTCACACTGTAAATGTTCAACAAATGTTGACTGAATGAATGAGTTGCTGAGGGAACAATGAGGCTGGGTGCATCCACCGCCGTTACTGCCACCCGCGGCCAGGCCAGGCCAGGCTGGGTGCACCCACCACCATTACCGCCACCTGTGGCCAGGCCTCCACTCCCAGGGCCTGGGGCTTGGGAACATGTTCACTGAAATTCCCCCCTGCCCCTTAGTGTGGTCACCAGAGCAGGCACACCTGCGGGCAGGGATCACCGATACGTCAGCGTTGGGTGTCCCCAGGGTCCAGCCTCAGCCAGGGTAGGGGTGAAGGACAATTTGTCGAATAAATGAGCAAGGGAGTGAACACATGGCTCAATAAGTGAATGGCGTCAAGGGACAGAGGGACGGGGAGCACTCTGGCTGGGGCGGTGGCAACACCATCGTCGGCACCTCCCCTTAGGTGTCTGCTGTCCTGCGACTCCTTCGCGAGAATCGCTCCGCAGGGGACCAGAGAAAGATAGAAAAAGCCTCTTCTCTCTCAGCCTTCTCTGAGCCAGGTGGGCTCTTTCAAAAGCCACTTAAGGACAAAAAGGAAGAGCCTGCATCCGTCGCCCGTGCCCGCCTCACTGGACCCGCCCCAGCTCTGCTGGCATCCCTGGCACTCACCTTCCCATAGACAAAGCAGTACAACGTGACGCCAGTGGCCCATACATCCAAGGCCTGGAAAGAAACATGCTCACATCAGTCCCCAACAGGCACAGCCACCTCTGCCCACCCAGCTCCAGCGGGCTGCAGGAGAGGCCTGCAGGGAACCTCTTTCCTCTGTCATGCACTCACTCGACAAACACTCCGCGGTACTTGCCCGATGCTGGGCCCCGTGCTGAGTGCTGAGGACACAGGGGCGGCCAGAACAAGGCCTCCACCCTCCAGGGGTTCTGGATTTCCTTGGGAAAGACTCTAACCAGGTACGTTTCCAACTCAACAGGTACAAAACCTCCTTCATCCAGAGGGTCACACGGGCCGCTCCCGTGCCACAGACGCACCCCAGGAATGATGGTATATATGGAACTTCTGCTCACTAAACCAGCTCGGGCTTCAAGGAGTCATCCCTTCTCCTCATAATCCACCTTCTTCCTGATATTGCAAACAGCCCCTGCCCACACAGAGGCCCTGTCCTCTCACGCCCTCATCCACCGCCACTGCAACAACTCCTCTGGGCTCCCAAACACCCCTGGGCCTCCCCGCGCCCTGGACTCCAGCGTGTGCTCTCTCTACCTTCTGCTCCGGAACGCCACCTCTTCTGGTATCCACTTTCTCGCTTATATGAGTGATTCTCGATCTCTACCTACATATTCCTGCCCCAGATGCATCATCTGAATCCAACCAGGGAACACCAGACAAATGCAAACTGACAACATTCTACAAAATAACAGGCTGGTTGTCTTCCAAAATGTCAAGATCAGGAAAGACAACGGCAGGCCAAGGCCCTCTTCCAGATGAAAGGATACCACAGACAAGAAGGTGAATGCAGCAAGTGGTCCTCGATTGGATTCCGGGACCAGAAAAAGAAGAAGTTATGAAGTACAGTATCAGGACAACTGATAACATTTAAATAAGGTCTGTGGATTATGTATGTCTTTTTTTTTTCAGACAGAGTCTCACTCTGTCGCCCAGGCTAGAGTGCAATAGCACGATCTTAGCTCACTGCAACCTCTGCCTCCTGGGTTCGAACGATTCTTCTGCCTCAGCCTCCCAAGTAGCTGGAATTACAGGTGCCTGCCACCATGCCCGGCTAATTTTTGTATTTTTTAGTAGAGACGGGGTTTCACCACGTTGGCCAGGCTGGTCTCAAACTCCTGACCTCAGGTGATCCACCTGCCTCGGCCTCCCAAGTAGCTGGAATTACAGGTGCCCGCCACCATGCCCGGCTAATTTTTGTATTTTTTAGTAGAGACGGGGTTTCACCACGTTGGCCAGGCTGGTCTCAAACTCCTGACCTCAGGTGATCCACCTACCTTGGCCTCCCAAAGGGCTGGAATTACAGGCATGAGCCACCATGCCTGACCGATATATAAGTCTTATCAATGATTAATTTCTGGCTGGGCGTGGTGGCTCACACCTGTAATCCCAGCACTTTGGGAGGCCGAGGCGGGCGGATCACGAGGTCAGGAGATCCAGACCATCCTGGCTAACACGGTGAAACCCCGTCTCTACTAAAAAATACAAAAAATTAGCCGGGCGTGGTGGTGGGCGCCTGTAGTCCCAGCTACTCGGGAGGTTGAGGCAGGAGAATGGCGTGAACCCAGGAGGTGGAGCTTGCAGTGAGCTGAGATCGCGCCACTGCACTCCAGCCTGGGCGACAGAGCGAGACTCCGGCTCAAAAAAAAAGAAAGATGATGAAAAAGCCAGTGGGACAAAATGTCAATAATTGGTGAATCTGGGTAAAAAGATATAGGGGATTTCTTTGTACTATTCTTCCAACTTTTCTGTAAATTTAGAATTATATCAAAATAAAACATTTCAAAAAATCTTTATCAACATCCCCAACGTCTTTCTTTCTTTCTTCGAGACAAGGTGTCGCTCAGTCACTCAGGCTAGACACCATCACAGCTCACTACAGCCCCCAACTCCTGGACTCAAGCGATCCTCCCACCTCGGCCTCCCAAGTAGCTGGGACTACAGGTGTGCACTACCACACCTGTCTAATGTTTTTATTTTTTTTTTTGTAGAAATGGGGTCTTGCTATGTTGCCCAGGCTCATCTCAAATTCCTAGCCTTAAGAGATCCACCTTGGCCTCCCAAAGCACTGGGATTACAGGCATGAGCCACTGTGCCCGGCCTCCTGACCTCTTTCCTGGATACTCACACGTGTCCAAATGCCTCTCACCCACAGCCTCCCTGGCAGTGGGGTGGCTGGCACTCCATAGGTGAAACAGCCATGTGCCCAGGGAACTGCGCCAGACCGTGTAACCTCTTGTTCAGACAACTTTGCCTACGCTCCTGTCACTTAGGAGAAAGCCCAAACTTCCAGGCCCTTTATACCCTCTGCCCCCCACCCTGAGCCCTTCTGTTCTCTGGTTTATTCTCTAGGCTCCAGGTCCTGCTCAGATCCTCCCCATTCTTCAAGGGCCAGTTCAAATCCTGCCATGTCCCAAGATCTGCGGGGACCCCCAACTTCCCCCGAAACCATCCAGAGGGCAGGAAACAGGGTTCTCTTTGTTTCTGCCTCTTCCACAGTCCAGTCCAGAACCCAGCACAGAGCAACCAACAGTAAATATCTGCAAGGGAGATTTGGGACCACTTTGCTGGAAAACAGGAGAAGGCCAAAGTTGTGGAGTTTGTCAGGCTCCAAGGAAGAGGCAAATATGTCACTCCCTAGACACAAAGACCCTGGCACCCTCAGGTTAGAAACTGGGCCACTGCGGCAAGCTATTACGCCCCCCACTTGAACCCCAGCCTGGCCCAGGGCCTGCGAGTCACCTTCCCACTGAAGCTCTGGCCGGAATCAGAAATGGCCTCGGGGGCCATGAATGCTGGGGTTCCCGCCGTGCTGGACAGCTGAGCGTCGTTCCCCTCAAACTGGTTGCTGACGCCAAAGTCGGCGATCTTCACGTGCCCATCATCCCCCAGGAGCAGGTTGGATGGCTTGATGTCCCTGTGGACGATCTTCTGGCAGTGCACTGCAGAGAAGGGGAGCTTGAGCTGAGCGCTGGCCTGGGCACCGCTGGCCAGGACCCCACACCCGTCCTTGCACAGCCAGGGACGCCGGCCGGGACATCCCAGCCCATGCACACTTTCGTCTGGTGACGACCTGGGAGGAGGACGTCAGGGCCATCTGCTCCACGCAGGTGCAGACACTGAGCCCAGGCTGTGAGCAGCAGAGCCAGGACTGGAATCTTAGGAGTCTTTGGACTCCAAGTCCAGCACCCTCTCCATGACAAACAAGGGATCTGCTGCTGAGTGGGGAGGTCAGAGGAAACTAGGGCAGGAGAGTTGTTGCTGTTTTTTTTTTTGGTTTTTTTTTTTTTTTTTTGAGACAGAGTCTCACTCTGTCCCCCAGGCTGGAGTGCAATGGCGTGATCTCGGCTCACTGCAGCCTCCACCTCCCAGGTTCAAGAGATTCTCCTGCCTCAGCCTCCCGAGTAGTTGGGATTACAGGTGTCTGCCACCACGCCCGGCTACTTTTTGTATTTTTAGTAGAGACAGGGTTTCGCCATGTTGGTCAGGCTGGTCTTGAACTCCTGACCTCAGGTGATCCACCCACCTTGGCCTCCCAAAGTGCTGGGATTACAGGCGTGAGCCACCGCCCCCAGCTGGGAGCAGAGTTCTTCCTAGGCTAGCTCTGCCCCTTCCCTGTGAGTGCCGTCTGCAGGCCCAAAGCCAATCAAAACCTTTCTCCAGTTCCATCCCCCACCCAGGCTAGGCAAAGATGTCCCTGCTGCTGGGACTGAGAGTAAGATTGTAGGGACTCTGCTATCCTACAGAGGTACCATCTCAGCCCTCGGGATCTGGGCTGATGGGGTTTCAGAGAGATGGATGGCACCCCAGGCCTTGGGACAAGCAGGATGACACAGCTGGGGTGTAAGGTCAGCCACATATAGTAGGACGAATCCCAAATCAGAAATGACCTAATAGGCTGGAGGTCTGCCCTGCTTTCTGGGCCCAGCACCACCACGAAGTGACAGGTGGCTCAAGCTGACATGACTGGTAAGGTCCCAGCCAAGAGAGACAATGACCCCACTGACCCCATCCCGCGACCATCGACCTGTGGGCTCCCTCCTTGGCAAGTACCTTCATCTGGACCAACGGACCCCAGGATGCTGGAGAGGAGGGAGGAGAGAAGGCGAGAGAAGAAAGAGGAAGGGAGAAGAGGAGAGGGAGGCTGCGGGCAGAGAAGGCGGGTGCCGTATAACAATAACCATAAAACCAGTGGCACTTTCTTGATTGCCTACTATGTGCCAGGCACACACAAGGAATCTGACACACCCTTCAGGGCACAGAAGCTCAGGGGGGTGGATATTTGACCATGGAAAGTGGTCTCATGTTCTTATCTCAAACCCTAGCCTCTCCCTTGAACTCCAGCTCTTTACCCACATAGATTTCCAATAGACATCTTGGTAGATAACTAGGCAGCTAGGCATCGATATATGTCTCTGTATATCTGAACACAGTGCAATAACATGTCTAATTCAGAACTTGATTTCTCTGCCTGCAATGCCTACCACCAACAAAATCAAAACAAAGCAAAACAAAACGCCCCTGCTGCTCCCCATTCTTTTCCATTCTGTGAAAGGCCAAAAACTTCAGGATCATCCTCAATTCCTCCTCTGAGACCCCACATCCTGCTCATCAGCAAGGTCTGTGAGCTCAGCTTCTCACATCTATTCCAGATCCAACTGCTTCTCATCATCTGCATCGTTGCACCTGCCCCCATCAACTGAGAACCAGGCCTGGGCCACCCTGACCACCGAGCCCTCTCATGGCAGCCTCAACTCTCTCTTCTTGGGGCCAGAATCACAAGGCAGGTCTTCAGCGCCCTCGTGCCTCTGTTCATCCACCTGTCCAGCCCCTGGCGCTAACCGTTCTGCCCCAGGGAAGCCCTTCACTGTGATTAGCTGGGTCCTGATGAGGCTTTACCCAAGAACCAGGTAAGATAAACTCGTTTCTTTGTGGAGGCTAGGGGATAGCAGACAACAGGACTTCAGGGGAAAGAAGGGACTACAACAGGAAGGAGGTGGAGCCAAGCTGGTACAGGATTGTGCCTGCCACTGACCGTACCGGGGTAAAATGTCCCCTTCCCATCCCATGCCTCTAGGCCCTTGGTAGGGATTTTCTGCAAAGCCCTCCCCTCTGTGTGCCTCAGTTTCCCCATATGTGCAAAGAGAGTCTTAATCTGAAGGCAAAGGAGAGGCTCGAGCAGGATAAAGACAGTCCTGTTTCTGTCACTGCAGGTCAAACCTCAGCCAGATCCCCACCCTGTTCCCCCAGGGAAAGAATATGCTCCCAAGAAACCAAGCTAAGATTTTATTTTTTATTTTTATGTATGTATGTATATATGTATGTATGCATTTATTTATTTATTTATTTTGAGATGGAGTTTCACTCTTGTCACCCAGGCTGGAGTGCAATGGCGTGATCTCGGCTCACTGCAACCTCCACCTCCCAGGTTCAAGCGATTCTCCTGCCTCAGCCTCCCGAGTAGCTGGGATTACAGGTGCCCACCACCACACAAGGCTAATTTTTGTATTTGTAGTAGAGACAGGCTTTTGCCACGTTGGCCAGGCTGGTCTCAAACCCCTGACCTCAGGTGATCTACCCACCTCGGCCTCCCAAAGTGCTGGGATTACAGGCATGAGCCCCTGCGCCTGGCCCAAGCTAAGATTTTAGAGATGGGCATCTCCCCTGGTCCCCAACCCACGCCAGGACCCTAGGTGTCTAGGGGCTCTCCTCTCCCCAGACCGGCAAGTCACTCCATGCTGACCACCCCACCTCCTTCCTATCCCCATCCTGCTGCCACTGCCTTAATCCAGGCCTCACCATCTGTCACTTGGGCTGCAGAAACAGCCTCCTCCCTGGCCAGCTGGCTGCCTCTCACCCTCCGATGACACACTCCAATCCAGCCACCACACAGCTGCCAGACAGAGCTTTCTCAGGCACAAATCCCATCACGCCCCTCCCCATGCTTAAAGCTCTCAGGGCCTCACAGAGCTGGCAGGATGCAGTCAGCAAAGACCTCAGGGGAGGGATTCCCAGCCCTCATGCTGTGGCCCGGACAGTGTTTCCAGCATCATCTTTCACTAACCACGGCCCTCCTCTGCCCACTGGAGGCTTCAGCCAGACTCCACTTCTCCCCAGACTCAGAGTACACGCCTATGCCAGGCACATCGTCTTCCACGCCCATCCCTCAAAACCTGAGCAGGGAAGTCTACTCATCCCTCAGGACCCGAATCATAAGTAGCCTCTTCAGGGAGACTTCCCCAGCCCCCCGGCACTCCTACAGCCTCTAGGCTCCCCAGCCTTGGCAGGCACCACGCTGTATTATCTGCCTGCCTAGATTCCTGTCCCTCCCACTAGGCCGTGAACTCGGGTCTGGGTCTTTCACCCCTATGCCCCCAGGCAAGTGAATGTAGCTAATGAATGAAATGAGACAGAGGCCAAGCTCACATCACCCTCCTGAGCTCTTATCAGACTAGGGCCCCTCACAGGTAAATCCACCCTGCCACCATGCCCCGGCCCCATGCCAGGACAGACTCTCCCCAGCAGCTGGACATAAATCCCTTCCTTCCCACATCTCTTGAAGCCCCGTGGCAACGCTAAGCTAGGCTAAGAACTCAGCAGAAGAAAGATACAGAACAGCCAGGACTCAGACCCACAGGACCAGACACGACGAAGGATCTGGCACATGCCCAGTGGAGTCCACCGCCCGCCCCACCCCACAAAAAGGCCTTTGGCCCCGCCACACGTGCATGCCCCACTCCCACTGAAGCTGATTGGCAGGTCAGCTCTGACTGACGGGAGCTGCTCAGAGTCTGCTCAGCCTGGGCTCTGCCGCCTGCCAGATCCCCTAGCCCCAGCCCCAGTGGGCAAGCTGCCCCGCACTCACAGTACTCGAGGCCCAGGATGACGTCCCGCAGGTAGAGGCGAGCTTGCTCCTCCGAGAAGGGCTTGTCACAGGGCACTTCCATGACGGGCCTATGGAGAAGGATGCGGGGAGGGGCATTCAGCTGAAATCAGGGCACCCGGCCATTCAGGTGGTCGGGACGTCCCGGGAAACCTGTGCCCACATGAGTCCCTACAACTCAAGATATTAGCTTTTTCTGCTACATAATAAAAAATTTAAAGCACACATACTCATACATATCCCATTTCAATCATAATTTCAAATCAGCTTTCTCTTAATTTCTGATTGGCTTGATATTCCTTCTTCTAAGTACTTAATTGTCCATAATCAATTGCAAAGATGCCATTTAGAGCACTGTTTCAAACCGTGGATCCAGACCCAAGAGAGGATCATGAAATCAATTTAGTGGGTGGCAACTGCTTTTTTTTTTTTTTCCTAAATAAGTAGAATATATCAGAATATATTGCATGTAGTAAAGATATATGCTGCTTTGTAAAATTTTGGTTTCAGTTACAGATATGGATAGCAATAGAAATATATATTTCTTGTTTTGGATAGAGGTCAAAACATTTGAAAGCCTCCAAGTCTTAAAGGGACACCACTCCCTGCCCCTCTCCCCAGATTGGTCTGTAGGGAGCCGCCCAGGCAAAGGGACAAGCCGCAGGCTGCATTCAAGCCTTGGCAGTGAGGGTCCCGGACCACCCAGCCCCGTGCTCATTACTCCATGTCATCTGCTCTGTAAATACCCTGAAAAGCCGCATAGGGCAGACATGTGGAAGCCTGGGCTCCATCAGTGACTTGCTGTGTGACCTTGAGCAAGCCACGTACCTTCTCTGGTCCTTAGCTTTCCCTCTCACAAATGGGAGCAACTGGAATCCCACCCACTCCATTCACAGACTTGTTGGAAAGCTGAAAAACCCTTTGTGATTTGAATACCGGTAAGAGTTGAGTCCCACCTCTATATACTTTTACCTAAAAAACACTCCTTTCTTCCCCCTCTCCTCCATCCCTATCTTCCTAGTTCTTCAAGGCCTGGGTCAAAATCCGTCCCCTTTTCCAGAGGTCTCCCTGACTATTTCAGCCTCACTGACCCCCATCAGCCTTCAAAGAATGGTCCTCTTGGTCTCTTATTTACCCCTAAGGGCAGGGCCTCCGTCTCTGACTTCTCCTAGAGTAGCTGACCCCTGGGCTGGGGACACAGGGAGGGAAAGGAAGGAAGGCCTGGATGAGAATTGACCTGCCTGATCAGGACGGGGAACTCACCCCTTTCTCAGGAGGTCAAACACTGAAAGAAAAGACAAGAAGGTAAGGTGTAGCTGGCTGGCAAAGCAGCCGATGCCAAGGTCCCTCCCTGTTCTGGAGGGTAGGAGAGGGGGCAGGCATGCAGGCATACTCGAGGCAGGGACAGGACAGGGGACCCTGGGATATGAGAGCAAATAAATGCATGAGAGTGGGGTCTGCTATGGACCTGTCTCATCTGATCCTCAGGTGCCAGGTGAGAACCATCAGCATCAGCATGGGGCCCTTTTACAGAGGGGGAAACTGAGGCACAGAGAAGGGGCAGAAATTTTCCTAAAGGTCATAGCAGACAGGCAGGTAGGGTAGGGAGTGGAGACTAAAGCCTCAGCCTCTAATTCCTAAGCCAGTTCTTCTTCTGCCCCATTTTCTGAGGCCTCCTCTAAGCCCAGCCCTGAACCAGACACAAGGAACTAAAATAATAACATTACTATTAACAAGGATAATAACGAATGTGCTTTACATATAATTACTCATTTACTCTTCACAGGAACCCTATGAGGTAGACACCACTAGTATCCCTGTTTTATAGGTGGGAAAACTGAGGCACAGAGCTACAGTGTCTGGGAACCCATGCAGCCTGCTTCCTGCATCTACCTGAGCGCGCAGCCCACGTGGATCCACTGTCTTGCTGCTCAGAGGGAAGCAGGGAGTGGGGCTTGGCGATATTTGTTGAATCTAACTGGATATTCTGGGCCTGGTTCTGCAGGGCTGGGCAAGGGAATCCAGGGCTTCAGAACGTGTGTTTTTCTTCTGTCCCCAGGAGGTCAGTGCATTTACACCGCCCACCTGAAGGTCATACATGTCCCAAGGGAGCCCTTGGGCCAGCCCTGAGTGAGCTGCTGTGGGAATGAGCCAGGTCACTCACCCAAATAGAGGTTGTCCTCAGCTGGGTCATCCAGGACCTGGTCAGAGGGAGCAGACATGGGGGTGGGGCTTGAGGAGGCGTGGGGTTGGAGGTCCCAGGCCTCCTGGTCCTTGCCAGCCCCAGAACCCTTAGTATGCATGCAACCACCCCAGACAAGGAAGCAGGAAGTGTACAGGTGGTGCCAGACTGATGGGGCCTCAGAAGTCACCGACCCCCAACCTGGCCCGCCACACGACATCCAGCCTTCCTCCCCTCCAGCTGCAATGAGGGGCTCACTTCTTGCCTCTGGGGCAGCCCCTCACCCTCCATGGGAACTTGGGAACATCCCTGACCAGGCTGGGCCCCCAAAGCCTTCCTGCAGCCCCACCCCAAGTCTGGCCCTGTCCTCAGAGGCCTCAGCCACATCTGCCACCTGGGCAAGATCCCTGGGTCTGTGCTAGGGGCTCCCCAGCACCAGAAGCGGCTCCCATGAGACTCAGGTGCTGGTTCCCACCTGCTCACCACCACCCCCTACCTCGATCAGTTTGACCACATTCACGTGGTCCAGCTTCTTCAGGATGGCAATCTCCTGGTACACCCGCTCCAGGGGCAGCAGCTGCTTGGCTGGTCCTCCCTGGGCAGCCTGGGACCCTCTCGGGGGAGGGCGACCTGTGACCAGGAAGAGAACTCAAACACCTGTTCCAGGTGGCTGGGCCTCACCGTGGCCCCCAAACCAGTCTCAAGCAAGAGTCTTGCATGCCCGTGGTCTTGTCCCAACCCACAGGGCACATTCTGTCCCCAGGCCTCTGCTCACGCTGTCTCCCTCTCTACCCCATTCCTAGCCAAAACTAGCTCAGGATCGAGGTCTCCTCCTCTGCCTCCAGGCTAGGAGCTCCCAGGGACAGGATCAGAAGATACATACGTGGAAAGCCATACTGCTTCAGTAACTTCTTTTTGGAAAGGACTTTCATTGCCTAAGGAAGGAGGGACAGAAATGTCACTACTGTGCAGCCACCAGGGGCTAGAACAGGCTGGTACATGTGGACTGAGGTCCGGAGAGGCACACTGGACATCTGCTACTGGCCCTGAGGGTGTGGCCCAGGTAAGTGTTAAGCGGGGTTGGGGGTGGCCATATCTGAGCCTAGCCCTTCCCCTTATTCCCCCAGCAAGCCTTTCTGGAGCTTTCCCCTCAGAGGAATCCAGTCTCTGCTTGCATATCCCCAGGGTTAGGAAGCTCATTCCTTTGCATACCCCTAGGGACAGGGAGCTCACTCTCAGGCAGCCCTGTCCTCTATCTCCTAAGCACAACTCCTGCCCCACCCCTCAGGCTTCCAGGGCCTGGCTTGGGCAACACCTCCCTCGTATCCCCAGACTCACATAGTGTCTGTCTTCACTTTCGTTGTAGGCCAGCCTCACCACACCGTAGGCACCCTGCAGATAGGCATCAGTCAGCCCCACCTGGACAGGGCAACCCCTCCCAGGACCAGCTCAGGAGGTGGGGAGCCGAGCAGCTCTGGTCTCTCCTGCACCCCATCTGCACTACCCACCACCAGCTGGCTCACGGGCAAATATTGTAGCAGATGGGGAGGGGACTCCTGCGCCCTGGTAACTGCCCCTGCTTGGCTCCACATGGCTCCATGCCTCCCTCAGTCCCTCCTTGTCCACTGTCAAGAACTCAGAGAGTCGGGAATCAGGAGCCATCTTCCACCCTCCCCCTGGGTACCTGGGTACTTCCCACAGGGCACGAAACTGTCCTCACCTCCAGGCTAGGACTTGCCTGGCTCTGCCTCCCGTTCCCTCCCACACGAGAGAAGGAGCAGCGCCAAACAGAGAATCCCGAAGCCCCCACTGCTCTCGGCCTGCCCACTCCTACCTTGCCAATCTCACTCTGCAGCTTGTACTGGTTCAGCTGCACGCAGTCCTGTGGGGGAAGAGCGAGCACCAGGTGGAGCTGGGTCCGGAGGCAGCACTGCTCCTACCTCAGAGCCCGTTCAGGGTCCAATTCTGGCCATAAGCTCCTCATTCCCGGACCCCCAGGTCTCACCAAGCTTTTGAGTTTGGATGGGGAAGTTGGTGGTGCCATCGCCCCCGTATGTGACGAGAAGACGTGGCTCATGTTTGAAAACATGGATGGTGACGCCATGGCTGTGCCTTGTTCCCCAGAAGCAGTGGTGAAGGGAAAACGCTAATTCCTGTCTGGATTCTGGAGTCTGGAAGACCCTAATCCATGAGAAACCCATGAGCAACTATTTCCAGAAGCAGCTGAATGAGAAGGTCTAGACTCCAAGGACAAGATGAGGAGCCCTGGGCACAGAGGCTGAGAGCCTGGGTTCAGGCACAGAAAGCTCAGCCCCTGACATCTGTAGACTGCTTGGAACCTGAGTTCACTTTCAGACCTAAATGGCAAGAACTCCAGCAGAAGCCCAGAGGCTGGAGGCAGGCCGGCCGCTTCTGAGTCACAGCAGACTCTAAGAGGCAGAATTAGAGGCGAGGGGTGCAAGCTGGAGAAGAGTTAGGGGGGAAGGGGGACATAGCATCTATCTTCACATCTCTAAGAAGACTACATAGGGGACCAGGGAGAGACCTATTTCCTAGGCCTGGGCTGGGAGTGGGAATAGCAGGACTTAGGGAAGGCAGCCTTTGGCTCAGCTGGAGCTCCCCTGGTTGGGAAGAAGCTATATTGTTAGGTAGTGATCTCCCCAGCTCTGAGGGTATGCAAACCAAAGCTAGATAGCCGTGTGGCACAGACAGGGGCAGGAAAGAGTCTTCATTGCAGACTACTGAGGGGCTCATGAACAACCCCTCGTTCTGCCCCACCAACCTCTGCATCTGAGATGGCCACGTGGTGGGACTCGATGGTGGGCCTCCGCCAGGCCCGGGGGGAGATGTGGCTGGCAGGCCCCGTGGCATAAGGCCCAGCCTGCGCCTCCAGATAGCTTCCTGCTGGCCGCTCCTGTAGGGAAAGCTTCCTGGCTGAGAGGCTAGGCCGGGCTGGGAGCAGTCTTGAAGTACTGCCAGGGATCACAGAGGCAGCTCTGGCCCGTGGTGGGGGGTCCACACCGTTTCTAGTAGGCTCTGGGCCACCATCTGCCTCCTCCAAGTGAGTCACATCGATGGCTGCCACCCGTTCTACCAGCTCTGCCCGAGGATCCTGGCAGCAGACAGCTGGACCCCCCTCCATTGCTTCAGTCAAGGGGGTTCTTCTGCGTAGCCTTGTTGGGAACCTGAGAAAAGAAGGCAGAGAAGGCTTCACTCCTGGGTGTCAGGCTGGCTACCAGGTAAGGTAGCCACAGCGCTGTGGGTCCCACCTCCATGCCTTTGCCCTGGCTGTTCCCTCTACCGGGATTGCCAACACCCAAACTCAAGTCTGTCCCTATGACCTGAATGAATTCACATCGGTTCTGCCGCATGCCAGCCCTCTAGGCCTCAGTATCCCTGCCGGTAACAGAGGCAGTCACTTCTGCCTGCTGGCTTCACAGGGAAGCAGAGAGAATCTGATATTCTGGAATCAGGACAGACAGGGCAGAAGCCTGGAGGCCCAGCAGCACTGGAAGGGGCAGAGCCCAGGGTCAGCTCAGCCCCAGCACAGCATGCAGCCCTGTGAGTCATGAGTCCCAACCCTTGACAGCAGAGCACTCCGACACTGCCTCCTGGAAGCTGAGCTAGACACTAGTAACTCAGAAGCCTTGCTGATGCTTCAGACCCACCCGCCTCCTCCAGGGAGCCCTCCTTGATGTTTCAGCCTCCTACCCCCATCCCTCTCACTGCTTCCAGGAAGACTTCCCTGGGGCTCCCGACTCCAGCCAGCCCTGCCTCATTGACGTCTGTCAAAACAAGGGGATGGGCCCCACATGGTGGCTCACACTTGTAATCCCAGCACTTTGGGAGGCCGAGGCAGGTGGATCACCTGAGGTCAGAAGTTCGAGACTAGCCTGGCTAACATGGCAAAACTCTGTCTCTATTAAAAATACAAAAATTAGCCAGGCATGGTGGCGTGCACCTGAAATCCCATCTACTCGGGAGGCTGAGGCAGGAGAATCGTGTGAACTTGGGAGGTGGAGGTTGCAGTGAGCCAAGATCACGCCACTACACTCCAGCCTGGGTGACGGAGCAAGACTCGGTTTCAAAAAAAAGCAAGGGGATGAGAATGAGGGGAATGAGGGGTGAAACAGGGGCATGACATCCCCTGAGACTCATGTTCTCAAACTCACTGTGTGGCGGCTGAAACATCAGGGAGGTGACCCCCAGCCCTCACCTTCAGCCATGACCCTGGGCTACATCCTGACCCCGGACTGAACCCTGACACTCAGCCTGAGACCCCCATCTCTGTCCCAGGCTTGTAGAGCGCTGGCCATGCCCAACCTGATGCCCTTCCCCCTGCTTGCGCTGGACTCTGCATGTTCTCAGGAGAAGGAAGTGAGTGAACTCCTGACCCTCCATCCTTCCTGTCTGCTGGTAACTTCCTCCGAACCCACACAGCAACTGAGAACATGGGTCTCAGGGAGACCCAGAGTACGCATGGTGAAGCGCCTGCTCTACCGCTCGTTCCCCATCCCCTTGCTTTGACAGATGTCAGCGAGGCAGGGCTGGCTGGAGTCCACCGGCCACTGAGGAGCCAGGACTGGGTTCCAGTCCTGCCTGCTGACCCACCAGGGGCCCTAGACCAGCTCCTTCCCGACTCTGAGCCCCAGTCTCCCGACTTGTCCTGTGGATTCCCTGCCTTCCCATATTTTCCAGGCTCACAGCAGGGTTTGGAGGTAGACTGAGGGTAAGGGTGAGGTCCAGACCCCCTGTGCCCGGTACGCAGTGTGTTGAATGAGTAGAAGCCTGGAGGCGGTGGGGCTGGTGCTGACATGGAGAAAGGAAGAGAGGAGGCTCCACACTAGGAACAGGAAAAGTCATGGAAGCTGGACCCAGAGGAGTGAGAGGGAGTTAATGAGGCTGGAACATCAAGGAGGCCTCCCTGGAGGAGGTGAAGGAGGTGAGGAGGCTGAGTGAGGCTAGAGTATCAGGGAGGCCTCCCTGGAAGAGAGGGCAGGAGACAGTGAGTGCGGCTGTGGCACAAGGAGGCCTCCCTGGAGGAGGTGAGAGGGGACAGGGAGTGGGGCTGTGGCACAGGGAGGCCTCCCTGGAGGAGGTGAGAGAGGACAGAGAGTGGGGCTGTGGCATAAGGAGGCCTCCCCAGAGGAGGTGAGAGGCTGTGGCATAGGGAGGCCTCCCTGGAGGAGGTGAGAGGGACAGTGAGTGGGGCTGGAGCTTCGGGGAGAGCTTGGAAACCAGACAGCATAGGAAGGAGGAAGCCAAAGCTGGGAACACCCTCCAGGACCCGCCAGGCTCCTCCCAGCAGGTGGCCCACCCCTCCGCCCCTTCCCCTCACTCCGCATGCCTTGTTTTTCCCTCCCGAATGTAAGT
This sequence comes from Homo sapiens, assembly GCF_000001405.40. Classification (NCBI taxonomy): domain Eukaryota; kingdom Metazoa; phylum Chordata; class Mammalia; order Primates; family Hominidae; genus Homo; species Homo sapiens. The sequence continues at coordinate 3,887,919 of NC_000017.11, forward strand.
TTCATGAGATTAGGACGCTCATCTGCCTTGTCTCCAAAAGATCATCAGTGCCTGGCATGTGATAGGAACTCGATAAATATTTGTTGAATAAATGAGTGGTTGCCATAGTGATCGTTACAGCCCTGTCCCCATTAGACAGATGAGAAAGCAGCCTCAGAGAGGCAACCCCAGCAAGCCTCAGGCCCCAGCACATATAACAGAATGAACTCCAGAGTCAGGAGCTCCTGCTTTTTGGCCCTAGGCAGGGACTACGGGACTCAGAGCCGCCACAGGCAGAAGCCACAGGCTGCCCGGGCCCATAAAATTTGCGTATTTCCTTGAGGTTGCCATTCCAGCAAGAGGCCATCCTCCTTTACCCTTGAACACCTTTCCCTGCTTTTCTTAGATAGGTAGAGGGAGGCCCAGCGGGTGGGGATGGGCCCGGGGTCACCCAGCAAGTCGGGGCAGAAGGTTTCCTGTTCCAGCCTGAGCCCTGTTACCCGGTTTGGCGCCCAGGCTCTGAAGCCAGGCAGCCAGGCTGCACCCTTTCCTGGCTGGGAGCCCGTGAGCAGGTGGCTTCGCCTCTGTGCCTTGGGTTTTCCTCGCCCGCAAGATGGGGTTCTAGCGGGCCTCACCTCACCGCACGTGGTGAGATGCTGAGGAGGGAACGCCCGTAAGGCGCTCAGAACAGTGCCTGCCACTAAGGAGGCCGTAAAAGTGAGTTGTTGTTGTGCGGCTGCTGTTGTGATTGCTCGGGACACGCTGAGGCCCAGATGGATGCGCGGGCGGGCGGAAGGCGGCCGCGAGGGCTGACGTCAGGCTCCCCATCCCTCCCTCCCGCCTGGATCAAATTCAGGTGACTAAGCGCGTCTGCGAGGGAGGCGGCCGGCCGGGGAGGCCCGAGGTTCCTGCCGCGTGTCCGGGAGACAGGGCCTGGCGCCCCGGCCGCGTGTGTGAGGGCGTGTGTCCCCACAGGAGGGAATATGTGTGCGCAGGCTGTGGACCAGGGTGGTGGCGTGTGTGTGTGTGTGTGTGTGTTGTGGGTCCCCACACAGGAGCGCACTGCATGGAGATGAAAACCTCGGTGTGATGTGTGTGTGCGCAGGTGTGTTTATGCGCCTGTGTGCCTGCAGGTCTCCGTGTACCTATGCCCAGGGTAGGGGGGTGGTCCGCGCCCCTGGGGGCCCTGGGAGCCTGATCCCAGAGCTCATATCTGGACTTTTCCCCATAGTCACTGGTCCCACCAGCCTGGCACTGCCTGCTGGGCTGGATTCTGTGCCCCGGGCGGAAACCCAGGCCCATCTGGAGGCTCACACAGGGGGTGTCTCAAGGCCCTTCCCAAGCTCAGGCCTTAGTAGATACTCTGTAGAAACTTAATTCGGTGGATAACTAGGGCCATGTGGGCAAACAGAAAGATGGACAGACAGGCCGGGAACCAGGCCCATGGTACAGCGAAGGATTCCTGTGGGCATGGGCACTGGCTTAGTCCTGCGGCCGTGAACAGCCAGACTCAAGCCCTCCCTCATTGGGAAAAACTACTGCAATCCTGTCCCCCCAGACTGGGGATCTGCTGCCTCGGACAAGTCATCGAGCCTCTTGGAGCCTCTGTTTCCTAACACGTGCATCAAGCAGAAGGCCACTGTCCTGCCAACTCCCAGGGCGATGGAAGGAACAGAATGAGGTGTGGACACAGGAGTAGTTTGTGCCACAGCACTGTGGGGCTGGGATGTGGCTGTGTCTAGAAGCGTCCAAGAGAGCCTTGATGTGCAAGGTCCAACCCCACCTCTGCCCCCAGCTCCAAGATGGCCTGGCACATATCCCCCACCCAGGTTTTTCCTCCCAGGCTGTGCCCCACCCCCCAAGCGTCTGGCCACTCCCAAGGAATGTGGGCCCCCGGCTCCAGACGCCCACTTGGCCTGGCTTCTTCCACAGGACATGCCCCATCCAGCTGCATCCCTCAAAGGAGCCCCAGAGCAGGCAGACCCTGCTGCCATCCACGCGGGTTCAAGTAGCTCCACCTGGGAGCTGGTCAGGCCCTGGTCAGGCCTCATTCTGAGCGCTGGAAGGCCGCTGTGAACCCCAGTGCCAAGCCGAGGCAGGGGACCAGCTACATCCAGGCGAGGGGATGGACAGCCGTGACCAGCAGAGGACCGAACAGAAGGGAAAGCCGCAGAGGTGGCGGCCACCCAGGCCAGACACAGAAGGTGGTCCTCCCATGCCTGGGCCGCCTCACTGGAGCTGTGTTTATGATCCTGGCGAGTATCTGGATGGCCCTGGCAACGGGTGCCCTCCGCAGCTCCCGCCCCCACCCGGGATGACTCAGTCCCCTTGAGGGAGGCCCAGGCGTCTGGTGCCAAGTCATGCTTGACGACTCCTGCTGTGAGGACGCCCGCTCCCACCATCCCTGGGGAGCCCCCAAGCACCAATACGGGCTGTTGCCTGACTCAGCACAGCTACCCCCAGCGCATCGTCCTGGCCCACCCACGGAGGCTGATGGTCTCCAGGCCTCATCCTCTGCCCCTCCTCATCCTCCACACCAGGTCTGTGCCTCCAGCCCCACTCTTTCCAGCTAGCTGCCACCTCCCCGTCCATGTTCCCGAGCAGCTCAGATCCAACAGGCCCCAGATTCAACTCAGCATCTTCCCCAAACCTGCTCGTCCTCCTCTGTCTCCATTGCGAGACGGGTACCACACCCTCCCCATTCTTTCCTGACCCAGGTCAGCAATCCGGGAGCCCTCCTTGTCACTCGTCCTTTCCCTGTTGCCCACCCTTGCTCCCCACAACCCCACACTTACTCTCCACTGCAGCCACACCACAGCTTCCCAAATTGCATACTCTGTTCTGCTGCCAGGCCTCAGTACAAGCTGTGCCTTCTGCCAGGAACACACCTCCCTCTCCTCTGCTGCCTGGAGGACAGCTCAGACATCGCCTCTTCTGAGCCCTCCTTGATCTCCCCACTACCTGCTGGGTGAGCTCACCAAGTCAAACCCCTTAGAAGTCCAGATTCTACCCACTGCTTCGTTTCCCACTATGTGGGTCTTCCCTGACTCCAGGCTAACACCTCCACCCCACCCTACCCCATCCTCCACACCAGCTGCTGGAGGGATTTCCAACATGCAAATGTGGTTATAGTTCTCCCAGACCTGGCCTTCCAGGAACTCGGAATGTCATGGATAGAGGAGCAGAAGTGGCCTCAGACTGGGGGCAAGGTTGGGGGGGGGGTCACAGGCTAGGGAGCAGCCAGGGACATGGACGCCTGGGATGCAAGCACAAATAGTCACGGAGCACCTGCTGTCTGCCAGACTCTGTGCAAGCCTGTGTGGGGAGATACAGCAGTGAACCAAAAAGACCAAGTCTCTGCTCTCATACAGTTTAATTTCTCGTGGGGGCAAGAAGCAACAAACAAGAAAGCCAGTGATTCAGATATGATATGTCAAGTGGTACATATAGGAAGAAAAATACAGCCGAGTAAGAAGGATCAAGAGAAAGGGGCTGGGAGATGCTGCTGATACAGTGTAGTTGAGGAAGGCCTTTTGGGAGCAGGACTGGAGCAGACACCTGAAGGAAGGAAGGGGCAGTAGGCAGTGTAGTTATCTGGGGAAGAGCATTTCAGGTGCAGGGACCAGCAGGTGCAAACGCCATGAGGGGACAGTGCTTGCTCAGTATGAAGAACAGCAGGGAGGCTGACGTGGCTGGAGTGGAGTCTTCCCCACATAAGAGGCACCTGATAGCAAGAGGAGTTACATCTGGAGAGAAAGCCCCCTCACTCATTGTGCTGGCCTCAGGGATGGCTTCCTAGAGGAGGTGGCACCTGAGCTCTCTTCTGAGCACTGAGCAGGATTTCAGGATGAGGCGAGGATGGAAGTTTGCACTGTGCATATAGGAGAGTCATTTCCTGGCTGGGACTCCGGGCTTGGTTTGGGGGTGGGGAGAGCTTGGTGGACAGAGCCCAGGAGGCCCCCAAAGCCAGGGGGAGGTTGTGAGCAGGGGAGTGCCTCGGTTAGGTGAGGTTTAAAACGACTCCCATGGCTGCTGTGAGGACTGACGGTGGGAGACCGAGGAAGAGGCGAAGGGTCCCCAGAGTGTGTGCGCCTGGGACGCAGTGGGGGGTCAATTTGTATGTACTGGAGGAAAGAGGGCAGGGCTTGGGGAGGCCAGCGCCACTTCCCTGGGATCCTCCAGCGCGCACAGGCTGTGTGCCCCTCCCACACTCCTGTGCCCGCCCTGCGGACACCACCAAGGCCCGGTCCTGTGGCCTGTGACACAGCCTTCTCTGCACAGCCCTGCAACGCCAAGACTTGAGCACACCCCCTCCCCTGACAGGCACACGCCCGTGTCCGCGTGACCCGCCCTCACACACCACTCCATCCTGTCCTGCACCCCCCACGCAGACACAGGCACACTCCCGCGTCCACGTGACACACGCACACCCGCCTCCAAACAGCACACGCAGGTCCCTGCGCACGTGGACACCCCCCCAGCCACCAGCCCTGCGCCTCCCGGGCCCCGAAGCCGCAGCGCCCGCCTCTGCCGCCCCCTCTCGCCCCAGCCAAGGCAGGACCCTGCGCAGCCTGAGCCGCGCGCCGCCGCCGCCCCATTCATCTCCCACCCCGCCCCCGGCTCCTGCAGGAAGACGCTCCGGCGGGCCGTGGGAGGAGCGCTCCGCGGAGAACCGCACGTGGGTGCCCCGGGCCGGGCCCACTCCGCACAGACGTGGCCTCCACCAGGAGCCGGGCGCGGGGGACAGTGCACCGGGGATGGATGCGGTCCGCAGACAGAAGCGGGGAAGAACGCAGACGGCGGGGCACCCGCGGCGATGCGGTCCCGGCGGCCGGCGCAGACCCGAGCAGACTCCGCGAGGCACCCCGCAGACCCGGCCCCGCAGACAGAAGGGGAAGGATCCCCGCCCTGACCAGATCCCAGCTCCCTCGTAGACGCGGCCTGGCAGACCCCCCCCGCCTCTCCCTTGCAGGCTCGGGGCAGGTGTTAAGGCGTTCGTCCTCCTGCTCCTCGCCCGCGTCCCCGCCCCGCCGATCCCTACCTGGGCGCCGGGCGACAGTGTCCGCGGCCCGGCGGGCGGCCCCACTCGCTCCTGCTGCGCGCCCCGCCCCGCCCCGCCCCGCCCCACCGCCTCGCTGGGGCCCAGATCGCCGAGCTCAGCCCGCGGGCGCCGCGGCTCCGGGCAGCGCTCGCTGCCCCGCCCACCGCCGCGCCCGGCCGGCGCTCATTGGTCGGAGCGAACGGCCCCGCCAGCGCCGCCCAATCGGAGCCCGGGACTCCCGCCCCCTCCTGGACTAAGGGACCGCGGTGGGCGGCGCGGTAGGGGCCCTCCCTCCCCTGCGGCGGGGCCGACCTCGCCACGCCCCCGGCGTCCTGGGGTCCCCGAAGTCCCTCCCGGCCGCGGCGTGGGCCCTTCTCCTGGGCCTGCAGGGGACCGTGCTTCCCCGCCAAACCCTTTGCGCCCCCATCCCGGCCTGCAGGAGCCAGAGCGCCCCTCCCTCCCGGGCGAGGCGCGGTGCGTGCGAGGGAGGGGCGAGGCCCGGGGAGGAAGGCCTTGAATGGCAGGCCCAGGAGTGTAGCTTCTGCGGGGCGGGGGCAGAGAGGCCGAGAGGTGGCTTAGCACAGAGTGAAGTGCTTGCTCGGTGAGCCGGCGACAGGAATGGCCTAGCGAGGGCCGAGGGAGTAGAGGGAACTCAGCAGGACAGTGAGGTGACCTTCGCTGTGGCTGTTCCTGGGGACTCTGCCGCCACCTCTTCCCCTAACGCCTCCGCGTGTGAATCCTCTGGCACCACCACTTGCCCCATATCCTTCCCCCAAATCTAACCTCCTGCGTCCCTGTCTCGAAGTGGAGCCAGGAGCCTGGGAGTCACCTGCTGCCTCCCTGTTTCCTGCTCCAACCAGTCCATCTCCAGGCCCTGCCATACTGCCTCTTAACTATCCCTGGAATCGGCCCACTCCTCTCCACCCCACTTCCCCTCCCTTAGCTCAGGCTACCACCATCTTGTCCCTGATTGCTGCAGCAGCCTCCTCCCTGGCCTCCAGCCCCATCCAGTCTCACCTCCTACTAGCCTTTCTCTCCCTGGCACCCAGAGCAAGTTTTCAGGAACACAAGTCCACCGAGAGGCATTTTCTATGGCTCACCGTGAGAATAGGTCTAATCAAGCCCTGTATAGCCTTACTCCCAGCCACCTGCCTGTTTAACGCCTACTCGTCTTTCAGGGTTCAATTCAATCCTACTTCTGCCTGGAAACCTTCTCCATGACCTCCCCACTTCCAGCATGGGTTAGTGGCCCCACCCAGGTACTTCCTTGTACCTGGCATCTGTTTACCTGCTGGTTCCTCATTGGGACTGGGAGCTCCTGGATGGCAAGCACTGTGCCTGATTCGTCCAGCACACAGCCTGTCGCATGGCACAGGTGCTCAGTGGATGTTGTTGAATGAATAATTCCAGCAACTTGAGTGTGGCTTTTGACCTCATGGTTCAGGATACCAGCTAGAGCTCCAGCAATCACATAACGCATTCCAGGCAGTGGAGTGGAGAAAAGGATGAAGAAGAGGGCAGAGGGTCTGCACCAGCTCTCTTTTCAGGAAAGTTCCCAGAAGTTGCCACGTGGCACTTTCACATACACCGCTTGAGCTTACTTAACATGACCAGACCCAGCTGCAAGAGAAAGCTGGGAAATGCAGCTTCCATTCTGGGCAGCCACATGCCCAACCAAGAACCAAGGACTGAATTGCTACCGGGAGAACAGATATCCGGAACAACTAGTGGACTCCACCATTGAGAGGGTGGATAGATTGAGGGGCAGAGCTCGACTGTATGCCAGGTGCTGTTTACAGGTCTTTCCTCAACCCTACTAAAAGCTATTATTGTCCGGGTGCAGTAGCTCATGCCGGTAATCCCAGCCCTTTGGAAGGCTGAGGTGGAGCGTATCATTTGAGCCCAGGAGTTTGAGAACAGCCTGGTCCACATAGTGAAACTCTGTCTCTATTTAAAAAAAAAAAAAAAAAGAAGTTGTTATTATCCTTGACTCACAGAGGAGGCTTGGAGAGTTAAGCCACTTCCCCCAAGGACACACAGTGAACTGTGGCAGAGCTGCAATTGAAACCTGTCTTTTCCTTGCACGCCAGACAGGCTGGGAAGTCAGGAAAGGGTGTGTCCTAGGAGCTGCTGGAAGGAAATCTTTCGACAAGGAAGGCTTGGACAACAATGTGAGAAGCTGTCAGGCCAAGCAGGATATGGGGCCCAAGTGTCTGCTTAAGACTTGGCAACCAGGACACTGCCAGTGACCTTGGCAAGGGCACCTAGGAGAAGTGGTTGGGGTGGAGGCCAATTGCAGAGGGAAGTGTGGACTGGTCTTTCTGGAAGGGTTGCAGTGAGGGGAGAGGGGCAGAGCTGCTGGGGAACCTGGGCCAGGAGGAGGCAGAAGAGGGGGACAGATGTAGGGGTAGGAGAATGGAGGTGGCTTCTGCTGGGCAGCCTCTGGGCTGGGTGGTGAGGCTGAATACAGAGGAGGGACCCTTTTCTGCTCACTTGGAAGGGAAGGGGGCAGAAAGTGCAAAAGCAGGTGTGTCTGGAGAAAGAAGGGGGGGCAGAAGAGGAAGTTCCAGTCTTATAAAATCTAAATGATAGGTCTTGGTTGGGGAAGAGGGCAGAAGGCCAAGGCCCTGAGGGAGATGGCAGGGGCTGGCCTGTGTTGTCCAGTCTGGTAGCCACTAGTCACATGTAACTATTTAAATTAATTAAAAGTAAATTGGGCAGTCATGGTGGCTCCCGCCTGTAATCCCAGCACTTTGGAAGGCCGAGGCAGGCGGATCACCTGAGGTCAGGAGTTTGAGACCAGCCTGGCCAACCAACATGGTGAAACCCCATCTCTACTAAAAATACAAAAAAAAATTAGCAAGGCGTGGTGGTGGGCACCTGTAATCCTAGCTACTTGGGAGGCTGAGGCAGGAGAATTGCTTGAGCTCAGGGGCTGGAGGCTGCAGTGAGCCGAGATCGTGCCACTGCACTCCAGCCTGGGCGACAGAGCAAAATTCCGTCTCAAAAAAAAAATATTGATTAATTAATTAAAAGTAAATAAAATACGAATTTCATTTCCTTGGCTGCATATTTCCACCGAGGCCACCTGTGGCTTCTGGGTACCCTATTGGACAGCATAGATAGAGAATATTTCCATCATTCCAGAAGGTTCTATGGGACGGCACTGGTCTAGACAGAGCATGGTGACTGGGTGGGGGATGCTGCCCAGAGATCCTACCTGGCTGTAAATCCAGGCCTGAGGTCATGCCCACAGCAGGGCCCTCCACACAGCCTCAGTCAAGTCCCTCCTCCCCTCTTTGGGATTCCGCCAGATCTCCCTCCTGGCACAGCCAGCCCCTTCCTCCCCACTGTTTCACGAGGCCACTCCTGGGGTTCTCTACTTGTGCCACTGCCAGGCCTCTCCCAGCCATGGAGGGTTGGGAAGAGCGCCAATGTTCAGGGCTGTGCCAAGATGGCAACCCGTGGACAGAGGTGAGCTGACCTCTCCACCCAGCACTGACCCTGCTGGGCTCAGGGCGTATGAGTCGGCTCACTGGTCCCCACCGGCAGATCCAGAGGGATCTCAGAGATTGCCCAGCTCAGCCCCACATTTCACAGACGAGCACACTGTGTTTCAGAGAGGTCTGGAAAGAGAGCACGGACGGCAGAGGTTTGTCCTCATTCCCTTTATTGTACTCCACCCGTCGCTTCCCCCAGACCTTCTGTTCAGACAGAGCCAGGCAGGCCTTGGGAGCTGGGGCTGAGCCACAGGCAGGGAGCCCAGGATTTGGCTGGGGCTCCCACCCCAACCCGAGGTAGCTGAGTAAGGATTCATGGCTGGGAGGGCTGTCCTGGCCTGGCACACTTGGAGAGAAGCCTTTCCCTATGGAGGTGACATGGCACGGACCATGTGTGTGTGCTTGGGGGTGTAGATGTGTGTAGATGGTTGTGTTTGCAGGGCCCAAGCTGTTCACATACACAGTGTGGAAGGATGCTGTGTGCACGTAGGTGGTGTGTACACTGGGTTGTGTGCATGAGACACTGTGTGGCACGTGAGCACACAACACACATGCTGAAGGTGTTTGAGACCCTGTTCAGTGTCTGCACCTGAACAGGAAGTGCAGGCTCAGGGCTAAGTCTGACTCCCGCTCAGGAGCTTAGAGTCAGAAAGTTCGAGGACGGCACTTCTTAAACTTAGGTCCCAGAATGGCCTGGGGAGTTTGCCATCCACACAGATCATACGGCCAGCCCTGGAGCTTTTGGTTCAGGAGGTCTGGGGGTGGGCCCAGGAGCTTGCATTGTCGATAAGTTCCCCAGGGAAACCGAAGGCCAGGAAGAAACAGGGCTCAAGCAGGGCTGTCTAATAGAACTTTCTTTGACAGTGAAAATGCCCCGAGCTGTCCAGTATGGCAGCCACTAACCACACGTATCTACTGAGCAGTTGAAATGTGGCTAGTTCAGCCGAGGAATTGAATTTTGTGTTTCATTCTATTTTATTTTAGTTTAATTTAGTCACCTATGGTTACTGACTGCCACATCGGAGAGCACAGATCTAGAGAAATGGAGGCAGCGGGTTGGATAATGAGAGTCCGGAGAGAGAAGCACGAAGCTAGGGTGCAGGTGTGTGGGAGGGTCCTGCCCAGCCCCAGCCATTCCCCACCAGGAGCGGCTGAGGCTAGGGTAGGGCTCCCTCAGGGTGTGTGGGGTCGGAGCCGGAGCTCAGATTTGCACAGGTCTCTCCTACTATGCACCCTGAGCTTCTGGCAAACTGCTCTCTGCCTGGCTGAGAGGGTAGGAGACTTCCTGGGGAGGCCCCTCTGCCCTGGCTGGGACCCACCAGGGCTCCAGGCTGAAGCCTCACGCTGCACCCAGTCAGGAGTTGGGGCCCGAGCATCAGGATGTCCTCATGTTCTCCTGCAGGCCCAGGGTGGAGCTGGTAGCTGCGAGGTCACGCTCAGCCTGTGTACGTGGTGCAAGGGTTGGGGGATACAAGTCAGTGCTGGGGAAGCAGCTGCCCACGCCCCCCACCCCAACACAGACACAAGCGCCGGAGGCCTTCGAAGGGCCTGGCTCGGGGGGTTCTCTTACCGCCCCTGGCCCCATGTCCTCAGCGTATTTGAACTTCTTCTGCTTGTAGTAGTGCCTCTTAGGCAGGATGTGAAGCAGCAGCAGGTCACAGAGAACTGTGGCCTGGGGTCAGGGAAGGGCACGGAGACAGCGTGGGAATCCGGGGGTGGGTACGGAGCCCTCCACATCCCACCTCAGTCCCTGGTGGTGAGGCCCTGGCTGGATCTGACCTCACTGGAGGCCAGTTTCCTGGAGGGTGGATGAGGCCCTGCAGGACTCTCAGGGGACCAAGATGGTTCCACCCCAACTCTGTCCTGCCCCAGCTCTGGGCCTTGGTTTTCTTAGATCTATGTAGTTGGTGGGGTGGGCAGCTGCTGGCTCAAAAATGATAGACAGTTAGGGTCAAGTTTTAGGGTGAGGGACGTCTTGCTGCTACTGAATTGTGGAAGAGGAGGGGCCAACCCCAGCACAGTGAGCCGGTGACCCCAGCACTTACCACCCCAAAGATGCCAATTCCAGAGCCGATGGTGGTCATTGTAGGGATGATGTCAAACTTCCCGGCCTGGTGGCAGGACCCAGGGAGAGAAGGGCTAACCGTCGGAAGGGGCCCAGCTGGAAAAGGCCGGACCTGGGACAAGGGGACTTCCCCACCCTCGGCTGTGAACTGTCCCCACCTCGGACTCTACATGGGCCACCAGCTGCTGGTCAGTAGACCTGGGTTTTGACCTTGGCTCTGCCTCCCTGAGCGCAAGGAGACTGTGGGGAGGCATGGCCACAGGTTGCAAAGCCCTGCTCTGGACATGCCCCATGACCATCTGTTATTAGAAGTAAAACTGCTGGATGAACCCACCCAACTTCCGGTTGTCTATAACTGTAGATGCCCAAAGGTACTCACAGGAGCTGAGAATGTGTCTCAGCTGCCACCACCCTCACACTGGACACTCACCTTGCCGTCCACCAGGATGTCAAAGCGAATCCCAAACACCTTGAAGAGGTGACGGTAGTTGGTCCCGTTCTCCACAAAGTGCCTGGCAAACCTTGGGGAAGGGATGAGGTGGCAGGAGGGTGATGGAGGGGACTGTCTTGGGTCTGGAGTTCTTAGCGCATCAGGGATACAGGAGATTTAGTGGTCTCTGAGTACAGCCTCATCCCCAACACCGGGCAGGATCCCAGGCCTCATTCTGGGAAAGTTGTACTCAACTCTTGCCCCAACTCCTTTTTCTTTTTTTTTTTTGTGAGACGGAGTCTCGCTCTGTCGCCAGGCTGGAGTGCAGTAGTGTAATCACAACTCACTGCAGCCTCAGATTCCTGGTCTCAAAGCAATCCCACCTCAGCCCCCCAAGATGCCTTGATTACAGGTGTGGGCTGCTGTGCTCAGCCATTGCCCCAGCTCCCAATGTCAGCAATTTCCCCAGCTAGTCCTGGCCAGGTGGGCCTGAAGGGGTCTGAGACCCAGGGACAGGGGATTTGAGACTTCAATATCTTTCTCCCTGCTGGCTTCCTGCATGGCCACCCAGGCAGAATGAGAGCTGCCCAGGACCCTCTGCTCCCCTCTGGGGACACTTTCTCAGACCTGAAGTGTTCTGGGAGTAGAAAAGCCCGCAGGACCACAAGGAAGAATGTGCTGCTGGGGGCCTGGCAGACACCTGAAGTTGAAGCCTGGGGAGAGATTTTTCTCTTCGTACAGCCCATGGAACTCATAGATGGGTCTGCAGTGCCGTACGTGCCAGTCCAGGTCACAGTGCCAGTCGATGGTGATGCCAACCACTCCACCCTGCCAGGGACACAAGTAGTTAAGATCTGGGATTTCAGGATCAAAAACCCCTGTCTCAGCCGGGCGCAGTGGCTCACACCTGTAATCCCAGCACTTTGGGAGGCAGAGGCGGGTGGATCACCTGAGGCCAGGAGTTCAAGACCAGTCTGGTCAACAGGGTGAAAACCCGTCTCTACTAAAAATACAAAAATTAGCCAGGTGTGGTGGCGCACGCCTGTAATACCAACTACTTGGGAGGCTGAGGTAGAGGAATCACTTGAACCTGGGAGGCGGAGGTTGCAGTGAGCCGAGATCCCACCACTGCACTCTAGCCTGGGTGCAGAGCCAGACTCTGTCTCAAAAACAAACAAACAAAAAAAGCCCATCTCACAGCTGGTACACGCACTCTCTCAAGAACAGACCATTTTGGAGCCGGGCGTGGTGGCTCGCACCTGTAATCCCAGCATTTTGGGAGGCTGAGGTGGGCAGATCACTTGAGATCAGGAGTTCGAGACCAGCCAGACCAACGCAATGAAACCCCGTCTCTACTAAAAAATACAAAAATTAGCTGGGCATGGTGGCGGGTGCCTGTAATCCCAGCTGCTTGGGAGGCTGAGGCAGGAGAATCATTTGAACCCGAGAGACAGAGGTTGCAGTGAGCCGAGATCACACCACTGCACTCCAGCCTGGGCAACAGAGCAAGCCTCTGTCTCAAAAAATCAACAACAACAAAAAAAACTGGACATTTTTTATTTAAGAAAAGATACTGAGAAACTGTTTTGGGGTAGAGGTCCTGTCACCCTCACTGGCCTTCCCTCCCATTACCCTCCACACTCCAGCTCTCTGACCATTTCTTGTTTATTTATTTATTTATTTTCGCCCTGCTCTTGTAACCCAGATACGTCCTTGTTATTCCCTTCTGTTTCACTCGTGTGTTTTCTTTGGGAGCATTTCTCGCTTTATAATCATAAGTTTATTTAGTGTGATTATGTATTAACCCATCTCCTCCAAGACTGTAAGCTCCAGGAGGACGAAGCTATCTGTCTCATTCATCACCAACTCCTGAGTTCCTGGCACAGGTCACAGTGTGGGAGGCAAGCAGACAATTACTGCATTAATTAAAGAAGGAATCTGTGAAGACCTGGATTGGGAAGAAAACATTGGAGAAAGCGAAGCTCCTCTGGGCGAGGCGAGTAATGGGACAGGTGGAGATAGGCTGAGCAACAGGAGAAGAGCTGGAAGGTGGTCAGAGAAGGGGACAGGGAGCTGGGAAACTTGCCAGGAGCCTAGTTACTGAGAAGTTCCCAGTTGAAGATGGCAGGGAGATTTTTTTTTTCTTTTTTGTGAGACGGAGTCTTGCTCTGTCACCCAGACTGGAGTGCAGTGGCACGATCTCGGCTCACTGCAACCTCTGCCTCCCAGGTTCAAGCGATTCTCCTGCCTCAGCCTCCTGAGTAGCTGAGATTACAGGTGCCCGCCACCATGCCCGGCTAATTTTTTATATTTTTAGTAGAGACGGGGTTTCACCGTGTTAGCCAGGATGGTCTCGATCTCCTGACCTCGTGATCCGCCCGCCTTGGCCTCCCAAAGTGCTGGGATTACAGGCGTGAGCCACCGCACCCAGCCCTGATGACAGGGAGATTTTTAGGAACAGGGAGGTCTAACATTCAGCATGTGTGTTGCTCCGGCATCAACCCCCTCCAGGGGTCAGGAAACTGAGGCCCATGGGCCTGATCATGGCCAGGTCCACTCTTCACATATGGTCTGTGGCTGCCCTTGCCCTTCCACAGCTGACTTGGGTAGTTGGCACGGAGCCCATATAGCCGGCAAAGCTGAAAATAGTTACTATCTGGCCCTTGAAAAAAAAGTTTGCTGACCTCCCTTGTAGACAGACAAATGTGTCGTGAGTGGGTTATTTTGATAACATCACAGAAAAGGGATTGATTTCGTTCTTGAACAGGCAACTGCAAGGGCAGGACTAATAAGGGACACGTGCTGCCAGGTGTACAGGCTTCCCACGCGCCAGGCAGCGAGGCACGCCAGGCACACGGCGTCAACTCTGCCAGGTGTATAGGCTTCCCACGTGCCAGGCAGCGAGGCACGCCACGCACACCGCGTCAACTCACTTGACCCTCGGGGCGACCCCACGAGACTGGCACCATTATTGCCCCCCGTCGGTGGGTCCAAAAACTCACACCCACTGAAGTTAAGAGACTTGTCTGAGTTCATACTGCTCGTTTGGGGCAGAGCTGGGATTTGAACCCGGTCAGCTAGTTCTGCGCTCATAGGGACTGCTTCTTCGGAATCCCAGGTGACTGCGAGGATCCCAGGGCACAGGATTTCTCAGGGCCATAGGCTATAGGATTCAAGCTGCCTTTTTATTTTTATTTATTTTTATTTTTGAGACGGAGTCATTCTGTCGCCTGGGCTAGACTAGTGCAGTGGTGCAATCTCGACTCACTGCAACCTCCGCCTCCCGGGTTCAAGCAATTCTCTTGCATCAGCCTCCTGAGTAGCTGGGATTACAGGTGCCCGCCACCACACCCAGATAATTTTTGTATTTTTTTTTTTTTGACAGAGTCTTGCTCTGTCCCCGAGTCTGGAGTGCAGTGGCGTGATCTCAGCTCACTGCAACCTCTGTCTCCCAGGTTCAAGCGATTCTCCGGTCTCAGCCTCCCAAGTAGCTGGGATTACAGGCGCATGCCACGATGCCTGCCTAATTTTTTTGTATTTTTAGTAGACACGGGGTTTCACCATACTGGTCAGGCTGGTCTCGAACTCCTGACCTCAGGTGATCCGCCCACCGTGGCCTCTCAAAGTGCTGGGATTACAGGCGTGAACCACTGTGCCCGGCCAATTTTTGTTTTTGTTTTTTTTTTGTTTTTGAGATGGAATCTTGCTCCATTGCCCAGGCTGGAGTGCAGTGGCGCAATCTTAGCTCACTGCAACCTCTGCCTCCCGGGTTCAAGTGATTCTCCTGCCTCAGCCTCCCTAGTAGCTGGGATTACAGGTGCGCGTCACCATGCCTGGCTAATTTTTGTATTTTTAGTAGAGAAGGAGATTTCACCATGTTGGCCAGACTAGTCTCAAACTCCTGACCTCAAGTGATCCACCCGCCTCTGACTCCCAAAGTGCTGGGATTATAGGCACGACCCTCCGCACCTGACCAAGCTGCTTTTATCTAGTTTTTTTTTTTTTTTAAAGCAGGGCATCAACAAACATCCAGATGACAAGGTCTGCCCACATCCGTTCATTCTGGGCACCTCCTTCGTGCCAGTTCCATGCCAGGACCTGCTGAAGACATGGATCTGACGCTCAGGGGGCCCCAGTATCAGGGGACAGACCCATACATATACTCAGCCCTCACCGAGGAGACTTGGGAAGATGAACTGGGCCTAAAAAGCCTTTATCAGGATCCTGCGGCCCAGCCCTCCCCACGTGCCTGGCACCATGCTCCATACCTTCTCAGCCAGGGTGCTGAAGTTCTGGCCTGACTCTTGCACCACGTAGCCAAGCTGGAAGACTGGGCACAGGGGGTGCAGGGTCTTGTGAAAGAGGCAGGTCTTCATGTGGGCAGCATTCACCTCCTCCACCAGGTTGCGCCTGTGGGGGTGGAAGGTGTTGACAGCTGCTGTGTGTCATCCGGGAGGGTGCCCACCACGCCCCAAAGCCTGGGGACCCCTCACAGGCTCCACATTGCCCCTTTGATTCCTTCCACGCCAGCAGGAATGGAGGGAGACAGAGACAGCTGAGAGCTGCCGGAGCGGCCCCGGCCAGCTGCCTGCATTTCTGCCCGAATTTCCCACGCACCTGTTGACCTTGAAGCGTGGAAAGCTGATGCTGTTCTTGATGAAAAGAGTGAAGTTCTCGGCCTCTCGGAGAAGGGCAGGGCTGGAGGACACCACACGCACTCACCGCCCCTCCCCAGGAGGCCCCCTGTGTGTCCCACACAGAGCTTGGCACAGCAGGGGGTGGGCCGAGCCTCCGGGACCCGCCTGCAGCCCTGGGCTGGTGGAGGGGTGGGTGTGCTCTAGCGTGGCCAGGACCCAGGGGAATCTTCAGCCTAGGTTGCGCGGATGGGGTGAGGGTGGGGTCAGAAAAAGGGGTAAAGATCCTTTCTAGACCTAGGCCCCCCTCTGTCTGGCCTGGGACCCTGTTCTTAGCTCTCTGGAAGGTCAGAGTGTTACCGCGGGATGTCGTCATCCACCTCCACGGGGCACCAGCCAAAGATCTCACACGTCTTCACAGTGTCGTTGAAGGCCACACACTTGCCCGTGCGGATGCCTGGAGCCAGAGGGAAACCCCTGGGTGCCTGCACTAAACAGAGGAGGCCGCCCCAGACCCCTTCTCCAGGAGCTCCCAGTGACGGGCCACTCAAGCAAAGGAGCCAAGGACAGAAACGTGGCTGGGTCCCGGACGGGCAGGCCAAGCCAGGGCGGAGGAGGGGAGACGGCAGGAGGGAGTCCCTCCCGGAGGCCGCCTCGGCGGGAGGGGTGTGGAGAGAGGCAGGTCAGCACCAAGCTGGGCCTGCAGGACGTCAGGGACCGCAGCCGGGGGACTGTGGAGGGACAGGAGGAGGCTGACCTTACCTTGGGCCTTCCTCTTGGCCTTCCCAGGGGTACAGCCACTGTCTTCCTTGCATATGCCCCCTTCTGGGTGCTGGGGGAGGCAAAAGCTGCTGGTCCCAGGCCCCTTGGGTGGGGTCCTGAGAAGAGCCCCTCTCCCCACCCCCCAGGGCCCTAGGGAGAGCGTGGGGCAGAGTCTCAGACCTCTCTGGAGTGACGCCTGCTCACAGCCTCCTTCCCCCATTTCCCCCCACACTGCTCTGCCGAGGCGCCCCCCGGGCTCATGCCCAGCTGCCCACTGCCAATGTCAGCTGGGCGGTGGGGGTGGGCACGAAGTCTCGGCACCCTGCCTGGTACACCGTGTGCTGGGCGGGAAGGCTCAGCTCTGCAAGGGTTGACAGTTGCTGTGTGTGAATATGCGCCCAAATTTCCATCACTATGGCCCCTGCAGGAAGCCTCTCTGGCTTCCCCTCCAGTGCCCCTGGAGACTTTCTCTGCACGTCATTTTCCCCTGTGAGTCCCAGAAGGGGGCTGGCGGGCAGAAGTCCTCACCTCTGCGCAGTAGCCTTGAGTCTGCTTCGGGGTCACGATGAAATTGGTCATGACCACGAAGGAGTTGTCCCCCTAGAAGTGAGGGGCAGGGGGAGGGTGGGGTGGGCTGGGAGCTGGGAGAAGAGCCCCAAGGGCCCCACCGCTGCCCCAGCAGAGGCCCCTAGAGCCCACAGGACACGCAGCAGCCACCACACCCCCTGCCACCAACATGGGGTGATATCACCAGGCTGCTTCTGCCCGGCATTCACAGAGGTCCAGAGAGAAAGAGGAGCTGGGCTGGTCCCACAGGGACGTGGGACAGAGTCCCACCCAACTCTGAGACAGGCCCTGTGAGGGGAAGGTGCAAACCTGAGCCAGCTCACCTGGGCTGGGAAGACGTAGTCAGCCACATCCCAGACCTGGGGGCCGAGGCCAGGGAGCTGGGTCACGGCCAGGCCCTTGAGTTTCACAGAGACACTGCTGATGAGGCCGCTCGAGGTCTGGTAGCCCTTCTCATAGAGAAACACCCACCTGTGCGGGTGGGGACAGAGGGGGAGTTGTGGTTGTGGCACCAGCTGGACCTGTCACACGCTTTCCCACGCCCTCCCCAGATGTGCCTCTGAGCCACCATCTGCTCCTAAAGCTCCTGTCTTGGGCTAGAGGCAGGACAGCCTCCCCTGCCTCCCGCTGCTGGCCTGGGCCTGAAGTTCCACGGTGCTTTTCACTATGAAAATGCTAATTCAGGACGGGCGTGCCATCCCAGCATTTTGGGAGGCCGAGGCGGGTGGATCACCTGAGGTCAGGAATTTGAGACCAGCTTGGCCAACATGATGAAATCTGTCTCTACTAAAAATACAAAAATTAGCTTGGCATGGTGGTGGGTGCCTGTAATCCCAGCTACCTGGGAGGCTGAGGCAGGAGAATCTCTTGAACCCAGGAGCCGGAGGTTGCAGTGAGCCGAGATCGCGCTATTGCACTCCAGCCTGGGCGACAAGAGCAAAATTCTGTCTCAAAAAAAAAAAAAAAAAAAAAGGAAAGAAAGAAACTGCTAATTCAAATACTCTTTCCAATCCTTTTCCAAGAACAGAGTTTGCTGGGGCCTGGAGGCCAAGCCTCCTCCTTCCAGGGTGCTCCTCCTTCCAGAGGTCCCAACAGAGCACGAAGGCTGAGAATATGGTCTTCAATGCCTAACAGCCTGGGTCTAAATCCCAGCTCCATACTTACTGTGGGATTTGGGGTAAGCTATTCAATCCCCTGTGCCTCAGTTTCCTCATCTATAAAATAGGAATAATAACGGTACTTCTTTTTTTTTTGAGACGGAGTCTCGCTTTGTCACCCAGACTGGAGTACAGCGGCGCCATCTCGGCTCACTGCAACCTCCTACACCCGGGTTCAAGCGATTCTCCTGTCTCAGCCTCCTGAGTAGCTGGGATTACAGGCATGCACCACCACGCCCAGCTAATTTTTTGTATTTTTAGTAGAGATGGGGTTTCACCGTGTTGGCCAGGATGTTCTCGATCTCTTGACCTAGTGATCCGCCCGCCTCGGCCTCCCAAAGTGCTGGGATTATAGGCATGAGCCACCGCACCCGGCCAACAATGGTACTTCTTGTAGTGATCAAGTGAGTGAGTTCATACATGTAGAAACACTCAGAATGGGGATGGCACAGAATAAATGCAGTATAGACATTAGTTGTTATTATGATCCAGCCATGCTGGGACCCCCTGGGAGACAGCGAGGAAAACAGAGCAGGGAGGTGGTCCTCTGGAGGGCTTGCAGCGTCCAGCCCCTCGGTCGAGGCACTGTGGGAGTGGCTCAGTCGGGAGGTCTTCCAGTTTTCTTGGGAAATTCTGGCCTTGCCTTCCCAGCATTGAGCTGTCCCGTTCCTTTGGATTCTCCACTTTCAGTCTGGAAGGTTCCATGAGGCTAACCTCCCTCTTAGCCCCAGGAGTTGGGCAGATAACCAAGGCTTGCCAATCAATGTTCCATCCCCCTAGTAACAGTGACGGGTCTAAGGACACGCACATGACCTGAGGAGTTTCAGCAATGAGGCCAGGACTTTTCTGGGAATTGCCAGGAAAGAAACATCCTGTCTATTGAGTGGCTAAGCAGGGTGGCTGCAAGACGAAAACTATGGTAGTCATCTTTGCCACCTTCTGGAGAGAGCAATCCTGACAATGAAGCTCTCCTAGAGGAAAGCCAGGCCAGGAGATAGAGAGGGGCAGAATCCTGACAATGTTGTTTGAGCACCTGGATTCAGCCATACCTGAAGCACAGTTGAAAAATCTACTTCTGGACTTTTCAGTTACGTAAACCAATAAATGTCCTTCCTTTGTTTAAGCCAGTTCGGATTTGGTTTCTGTTGCTTGCAAATGAAATAGTCCTGGATAACACTCCTCTCCAGGCTGTGGCCCCTTCCTCGAGGAAAGACTCTTTTTGGAGATTCAGGGTAACGTGTGTGTGTGTGTGTGTGTGTGTGTGTGTGTGTGTGTTGGGGTATGGGGTGTGTGGCTGTATACCTGCAGGGCAAATCTGTGAGTGCACCTGTGGCCAGATGTATCATCCCCCTCCACTCCTTACCCTACCCCGAGCTCACCTGTCCAAGGGGAGCTCAAAGCAATGGACTCCCTGCTCCTTCCCCCAGGGCTCAGATCTGGTAACAGAACTCTCCAGGCCTCTTAGTCCCAGAGTCACCTCTCTCCCTGCTGCAGGCCCCAGGGAGGCCACCCACCAATGTCCTCTTCTTTCTTCTCATGGCCCACCCACCTCTTCTCTAAGCCCCCTCTCACCTTGGCACTGGGGCCAAGTCACATGCTCCCGAAGCCTAAGCTTGGTCACTGCTGTCCCCTGCAGGTCCCAGATAGCAACAGGTGGAGGCATGACAAAGGCCTCTGATCCTCAGTGTCCTGAGTCTGTCACGCTGCCTCCAGCCCCATCAGGGAGAGCAAGAGCATTGCCCATCCCCCCACTGGCCTCCTTGGGCCCCTTCCTCCAGGAGGGCCTCTGGTTCTGTGTCCAAGCCAGAAGGAGCTGATGCAGGGGGGAGGAGGAGTTTCTCCTTGTCCTGGGCCCCTCTGCAGGACAGGCCACTGACCTCCCTCTCGGCACCTTCAGCCCCAACAGCTTAGCAACGTTTCTATCTTTGCCCAAAACGAACTTTCTACCTTTTCCCAAGAGACAGGGAAGCTGAGGCCTGCAGGAGTGGCGGTCTCAAGTGTCCCCATGCTTGAGGCACCCAGCCCAGGACTCAGCCCACCTCCACTGAGCAACACTGGCTTCGACGTGTCTCCCAGGAGGCAGAGCACAGAGGGGAAACAGAGCCACCTGGAGCCCACAAGCCGGGGCTGATGCACCTTGGAGCTGCCGGTCTTGAGGTCGAAGGGAAAGGTCGGTCAGATCTGGCATTCATGACCTCAACTCTGGTGATAATAGAATGACTATGGGCTGGGCGCGGTGGCTCATGCCTGTAATCTCAGCACTTTGGGAGGCCAAGGCAGGTGGATCACCTGAGGTCAGGAGTTCAAGACCAGCTTGGCCAACATGGTGAAACCCCAACTCTACTAAAAATACAAAAACTAGCCGGGCATGGTGGTGGCGGGCACCTGTAATCCCGCTACTTGGGAGGCTGAGGCAGAGACTCACTTGAACCTCAGAGGCGGAGGTTGCAGTGAGCCAAGATTGCACTCTGCACCCCAGCCTAGGCGACAAGAGTGAGACTCCGTCTCAAAAAAACAAAAAATAATAATAGAATGACTATGGTGCCAGGCCTGCTCCTCCAAAGCCATGCCTTGATCTGGCCTTATTGTCACCACCCTGGGAAGACAACCAAGAGGGCCTGATGTCAGACACAGGCATCTTCAGAAGCCTCTCCCCTTCCAGAAATAACCCTCACCATGCTTTCTACCTCGTCATCAGCAATCCCCCATCCTGGGGCTCTCCAATGGCCTTCTCAAGGAAGAGGCCACAGGGTGGAGTGGCTGAGGGTCAGGTGCCAGCCCTGCTGCTCCCCAGCTGTGTGGCTTCAGGCTAGAGACTACACCTCTCTGAGCCCTGGTTTTCTCAATAAAACAGAGGTGACGCCACCTACCTCAAAGGCGCTGCTTATTCATTAAGTGTTTAGTGAGGCTCTGCTACAAACTCAGCCTGGGCCCCAGGAGACAGAAGCATCTAGGTAAGTGTTTGGGGGAAGCTTCTATGAGTTCTTTTTTTTTTGAGATGGAGTCTCAGTCTGTTGCCCAGGCTGGAGTGCGGTGGCACGATCTTGGCTCACTGCAACCTCCACCTCCCGGGTTCAAGCAATTCTCCCACCTCAACCTCCCGAGTAGCTGGGACTACGGGCGCGCCCCACCACGCCCGGCTAATTTTTTTTATTTTTAGTAGAGAGAGGGTTTCGCCATGTTGGTCAGGCTGGTCTGGAACTCCTGACCTCGTGATCCGCCCGCCTCGGCCTCCCAAGGTGCTGGGATTACAGGCGGGAGCCACCGCGCCCGGCCTCTATGAGTTCTTAAGGAAATTAGCACAGTGCCTGGCACTCAGTGGGCACATATAATGAAAACCTCCCATTTTCACTGTTCTCCGTTCCTCCTTCACAAATTCCTCTTTCAATGTTGATCCGCCCCCATTCCCTGAGTGAGCTGCCTCAGACACGCTGTGTCCCCAGAATTCTATCTCCAGACTGCACTCTCCCCTGAGATTCAATTCCACACATTCAATCATTCAACAAACATGAGCCGGGTGTGGTGGCTCAGGCCTGCAATTCTAGCACTTTGGGAGGCTGAGAGGGGAGGATCACCTGAGGCCAGGAGTTAGAGACCAGCCTGGGCAACATAGTAACACGCTGTCTCTACTAAAAAACAAAAACAAACACGTATTTATCCAGCCCCTATTCATGCGCCAAACACTGTTGAACAAAACAAACACAAAAGTGAACAAAACAAACAAAAATCTCGCACCCAAGGGTCTTACACAGATGCTCCTCAAATGACGATGGGGCTATAACCTGATAAACCCATCCTGAGTCAAAAGGCTCTTAATACCCCCAATAAACCCACCATAAAGTCAAAAAATCCTAAGTCAAACCACGCTAAGTCCAGATGCTCCTCAATTTACAATGTGGTGATGTCCTGATAAATTCTTTTTTTTTTTTTTTTTTTTTTGAGACGGAGTCTCGCTCTGTCCCCCAGACTGGAGTGCAATGAGGCGATCTAGGCTCACTGCAACCTCTGCCTCCCGGATTCAAGCGATTTTCCTGCCTCAGCCTCCTGAGGAGCTGGGATTACAGGCGCACACCAACACGCCTGGCTAATTTTTGTATTTTTAGTATAGACGGGGCTTCACCATGTTGGCCAGGCTGGTCTTGAACTCCTGACCTCAGGTGATCCACCCACCTCTGCCTCCCAAAGTGCTGGGATTACAGGCATGAGCCACTGTGCCCGGCCTACGAAATCTATTTCGTGCCAAGCACTAACCACTATACAGACAGAAATTCAATTGGATCAACCTGAACTCTTCATCTCCCTTTAGAACTTGTTCCCCTGTGTCCTCGTCATGGAGAATGGTGCTGTCCTCACCCTATCACCCAGGCTCAACACCCAGGCAGCATCCTCACAGCCACCCTCCCCATCATGCCCCCACATTCATTGGATCCCCCAGTCCTTCTGGTCCTCCCTCGGCTTTCATCTAAGGACCCAGAAGGGCTGGTTTTGGGAAGGCTGAGACACTGGAGGAGCTGGGACAGGTGCGGGGGCAGCTCTGGCATGGGTTGGGAGGACCGGCCAGGTGGCTGGTGGGACACAGGGTATGGCCATGGGCCACAGGCAGGAGTTGACCAGATGGGGCGTGTGCTGTCAGGGAGCAGCAGCCTTGGGGAGGGGCATGAGCAGACTCCAGGCCTGGGAGGGAATGTGCTCAGAACTGGGGCCCACCCTGAGGCCCCCATGCAACCCGCAGACAAGTCGAGGGGCATCTGGGTTAAGTTCCTTGAGTGCAGGATCTTGGTTTGTTTTGTTCACTTCTGTATTTTTAGTGTCTAGAATAGTGCTTGGCACATAATAGGAACTCAACAAACACTGTGTGTTGAATGACTAACTGAATGTGGAATTGAATCTCAGGCCAACCATTTGTGTTTTTAATTATTTTATTTTTATTGTTCTTTATTTATTTTTGAGACAGGGTGTCACTCTGTCCTCCAGGCTGGAGTGCACTGGTGCAGTCGTGGCTCACTGCAGCCTCAACTTTCCAGGCTCAGGTGATCCTCCCACCTCAGCCTCCTGAGTAGCTGGGACTGACTACAGGCACGCGCCACCACACCTGGGTAATTTTTTTTTTTTTTTTTAGATACAGGGCCTCACTGTGTTGGCCAGGCTGGTCTTGGACCCCTGAGCTGAAGTGATCCGCTCACTTTGGCCTCCCAAAGTGCTGGGTTTACAGGCGTGCACCATGGCACCCGGTCTGTTTTTCTTTCTTTCTTTCTTTCTTTTTTTTTGAATACGTCACCAATCTCTAAAAACCAAGCGGTTTCTTTCATGCATAAATCTCACTTCCCACTTCTCTTGAGACGTCGGAAGCTCTGGCTGTGCCAGGTGTTACGTGCTGCGGCAACAATGGGCAGAAGCTGAGCAGGGGCCGCCCCAGGCGTGAGGCCTGCCGGGGTGACGACATCTGTCACCCGTGCTCACTGCCTCTGCCTTGGGTCCCGCCCCGTCCCCCCTTCCCATCCCTGCGGCCTCTTCACAGCTGTCCTGCCTCCGGTCCCCACGCCCACCCCTGCCTGCTCCAGGCCCTCCCCTGCTAGACATCCTGTCTTGGCTCCCTTCTGCCTGCAGAAGAAATCCGGGCGCCTCAGCCTGGTGTTCAAAGGCCTTCGCCATCGCCCCTGCTCTCCCTTTCACAGCCTCTCCCTTGGGCTCCTTTTATGGCCCCTTCAGCCTAGTCCCAGTGACACCTTCTCTATTCCTCTCCGGCCCCAAGACCTTGGTTCACACTGTGTCCCGACAGGAGAGCCTGGAAGGGTGGGCACGCAACCAGGCTCCTCCAATCAGGGCATTCCGTTTCCTTGACTGCAATGATTGATTGGTTCTGGGGTGGGCACGGGACCCGACCCCGGCCAATAAGAATTGAACCTGAGACTTTTGCTGGAGCTCTGGAGAAGGAGCCACTCTTGTGCCTCGGGAGTGGCTAAACTGGTGAGATGTTAGCTTGGAGCTGCTGGTGGCCGTTTCACCACTGTGAAGACAGAGAACTTGCCTGAGAATGAAGCCTCCACAGAGGAAAGAAGAGCCAGGAAAGGGAGATAGGTCATGGGCAGCTTCTTTTGAGAACCAAGACTGGACCCGCAGGAATTCCTCATCCCCTCTCCCCTCTAAACCTTACTCCTCCTGTGTCTTCATCCTGGAGGATCCAGCCGGGCCTGAAACCCACACTGATTTTTCAGTTACATAAACCACCGGATACCCCCACCTTTCCTTTTATTTATATATTCATTTATTTGTTTGTTTTTTTATTTTTTTTTTTGAGACGGAGTCTCACCCTGTTGCCCAGGCTGGAGTGCAGTGGTGCGATCTCGGCTCACTGCCATCTCCGCCCCCCAAGTTCAATCGATTCTCCTGCTTCAGCCTCCCGAGTAGCTGGGATTACAGGCGTGCGCCACCACACCCAGCTAATTTTTGTATTTTTAGTAGAGATGGGTTTTCACCATGTTGGCTAGGCTGGTCTCAAACTCCTGACCTCAAGTGATCCACCCGCCTTAGCCTCCCAGAGTGCTGGGATTACAGGCGTGAGCCAACGCACCCGGCCCACCCTTCCTTTTAAATCTGTTTGATTAGACTTTTCTCACAGGAACCAAAGGAGTCTGGCTAATTCACCCTCAGTTCCTCCCTCTCCCTCTCTCCATTCCATGTCCCACCTCTGTTCCCCGGCACAGCACCAGGCATGGAGAAGATGCTGCAGAAACGGTCCCTGGATGTGTTTCTCCCCCCAATAATTTCTATCCATCCTTCTCCCTGATTGGTGCACTCTGATCTCCACTTGGAGATCTCAGAACATGTGATTTCAAGAGGTCTGTGTGGAGGCGCAGGGGATGAGTGAGGACTTAGTTGAGAAGAGACCCAGAGGGACTGGAGAGAAAGCTGAGAGCAGGCCAGCCCAGCCCACAGCCCCCAGGTCTTTGCTTATGGCTGGTTCCATCAGTGTGTCACCTCCTCCAGGAAGGCCTCCCTGGCTTCCTCCCCACTGCCTGTACACCACCAGGGACAGAGAGCTCATCAGCTCTTCGGGGAGAGCTCTAACTGAGACCATCTTTTTTTTTTTTTTTTTGAGATGGAGTCTCACTCTGTCACTCAGGCTGGAGTGCAATGGGGCAATCTCAGCTCCACTCTGCCTCCAGGGTTCAAGTGATTCTGCTGCCTCAGCCTCCCAAGTAGCTGGGATTACAGGCGTGCACCACCACACCCAGCTAATTTTTTCTATTTTTAGTAGAGACGGGGTTTCACCATGTTGGCCAGGCTGATCTCAAACTCCTGACCTCAGGTGATCCTCCCACCTCAGCCTCCCAAAGTGTTGGGATGACAGGCATGAGCCACTGTGCCCAGCCTTAACTGAGACCATCTTAACTGGATCTGAGAGGGTCAGCTCAGCTCAGCCTTCTGGTCTCAGGCCCACTCACTGCCTGCACTTGCCCAGGATCTCCTGGAGGAGCATGACTGGCGGAGACCATGGCCTCGGTTTTCCTCCTGAGTCTGTGTTCTTGGCTTCTCAGCCTCCCTGCTCAGCCTCAGTAACTCTGTCCATCTCTGAGTCTCGGGACCTCCCACCCTTCGTCTGAGTTGTGCTCTGGCGTTTGTCCCTCTGTCCAGGTCTGTCTCTGTGTCCACCCATCCCCCACCCAGGCTTTGCCCTGTGTCTGGGACACGGGGGCCTGGCTCTTCTCTCATGCTCCTTTCCATCCCCTGGCAGTGCCCACAGGATCAGACATGAAAGCAAAGCCCTCCTCAGGAAACAGCAAAGTGCTGAGCTGAGTGCACTCTTGGGGGGGGTGGTCCCCTGCAACCCGTGCCCCACGGGCCGGTTAGGAAGCTGAGTCCGGAGATGCCAAGACCAAGTCCAGGCTGGGTCAGGGGTTCGGTTTGCCGCTGTGGGTTCCTGGCTGAGAGGTCAGTGCAGTACTGAGCAGTGGCCAGACGAGGGCGCAAGAGACAGCAGGCACCACAGCCTGAGCAGGAGCTGGAAGCCTGGGCCTGCAGCCCTGGGGGTTGCTGGTGATGACGGACTCTGCCTTCCTTCCACCCTCTGCTGTGTGACGTGGGCAGGCCAGTGCCCTCTCTCTGAGGAGGTTGCCTTTCCAGAATATCAAGGCTGACTTTGGAGCCATGCAGGTGGGTTCAAATCCTGGTTAGTCTCTTACTAAGCTGTGAGATCCTGGCTAATCCCTGTGGTCCTGAGCCCCACAGACACCGAGAAGGGCCACATCCATTTGGAAACTGATTAGACAGTCTTGGGAGGGAAGACAGGCAGGAGGACGGTAGTGAGGTCCCCGTCACTGGAGGTATAGGTTCCCGGCTGGGCAGCAGCTTGGGGCATAGGCTACGGCTGGGAATGGGTGGGTCCCTCCAACGCTGACAGCCTGTGACACACACAGAGGAGGGACCTGGTGCCCCTCACACCTGCAGATCTGAAAGCAGAACTAGGGAGCCGCAGGGGCAGAGAGAGGACAGCCTTCCCCCAGCCTCTTCCAGCAAGGGTAGGCTGGGCCTGCGCAGACAGCCTCTCCCAGGGACGGTCAGGAGTGATACTAAGGGTGGACTTCCGGCCCGTCCTGTACCTGGCATCCCACCATCAGTGCCCAGTAGAAAGGATCCACAGCCCCTTGTGATGGTGAGGAAGGAGAAGGCACAGCAGAGGCCTGGGGGTCAGGAGGGCTCAGCTGCAACCCTGGGTTTGCTGCTGACTTGCTGTGGACCTGGAAACCCCACTGCCCCTCTCTGGGCCTCAGTTTCCCTCACAAGCTCAGACATCACAGATGTCAAATTAGTTTCTGAACAAGAGAGAGGAGAGGTCAAGGCTGGGGTCTGGCCCTGGGTCCACCTGGCCGGCTCTGAGGTTCTGGGGACTGGTGGGACAGAAGGAGGGCTCTTTTGGACGCCAGAAGTTTCCGGGGGACTAGGACTTCATGGTCCTTGTTTGGGCCCTGGGTCAGCCTGCCCTGGACTCCATTTAGCAGTTCTGGTTCGGAACCATGGTAAAAATGGGGAGGGTAGAGCTCTCAGAATCACACGGCAAAGGCAGGCAGGGGCTACTGGGCACCCCTAGGACCCCAGCAGGGGCTGAGCCCCCTCCAGTGGCCCTGGGGCCTCCAGGAGACCTCTGCAGAGTCACTGTGAGTGGACAAGATGCACCACACACAGGGGACACACACTGGCCACCCAGACACTTGGCCACAGGGCAGACATGGGCACAGCCATATGTACACATAAGGGTACCCACATGTGGGCACTCAGCACCAGGGACACACACCCAGACACATATAGGCACAGAGCTCCATATGCACACTCACAAGTGTGCCAGCCTCTGCCAGGCCTGTCTTGGCTCCCGAGACAACCATACTGCAGGAGCGTCCCACGCTGCCTCTGATTCTGCACTCCCAGCCCGGTGGGACAGGTCCGGAGATGCCCAGAAAGGAACTATCATCCCTGGGACCAGAACCAATCTCTGTCCTCCGCCTGACATGCCAACATGAAGGCACCAGGTATTCAGAATGTGAGAGTTTCTCTGCTCCGGGGGCCTCAAACGTCCCTGGATGTCCCTTGCTCAGGCAGGGAAGCTGGCAGCAGAGTCTGTCTCTCTCTAACTTGTCATATGGGGTGACGGGTGTGGGGTATGGCCTCTGTGTGTCAGTGGCGGCCTGGTTTGGCAGGCGGTCAGAGGTCGAGGACTCAGTGGCTGTGGTTGGTGGTGCCCTGGCCCTGAACACCACTAACCACTCAAAGGAACCATAACACTGAGCCGGCTCCTCAGAACCCAGAGACTCTGCCTCCTGTTCACCGAAGGCCCCCGGGCAGGGCTTCCCCTCCGGCCTCGTCCCCATCTCAACAGCGAGTTGGCAGGATTTTCTATTCTCGCACAGTGGCTTGCCAGGAAGGCCTTCCCCTGGATGGAGAGGAAGAGGGGCTCGCTGGTGTCACGCAAGGGATGTCAGAGTCTGGAGGACAGGCCCGGGGTAGGGGCTGGTGCAGGCAGCGGGAGGCGCCCGGACTCACCCGATGACGTAGACCAGGACCACCAGCTGGATCAGTCGGAAGATAACGCCCACCTTCTTATTACGCACCAGCACCATGCGGGGGGTGTCATACTCGAAGAGGAAGGCGGCCAGCTCCTCCTGGAACCGCCGTGCCATGGTGGGCCGGCTGGGGCTCAGAACTGAGCCCCCTGCACGGCCTCTGCTCTCAGGGTGAGCCGGGTGCCACCACCCACGTCGATGGTAGAGCTTCTGGGGGCTTCCTGGCCCCTTAGGAAGAGCAGGGCGGTGCAGGTGGAGCCAGAGGACAGGAGCCAGAGGTCAGCTGGAGGCACTTGGGTTGGAGAGAGAATCCCTGGGTGATCAGAGCAGCTCTTGGCCCCTGGAAGGCAACAGACTGCAGGCCAGCCTCGCCCATGGACAAATAAATTCCCAAAGATAGATGGGGCGGGGCTGGTGGGGCCACCCAGGCCCAGCCCCACTGCCCCTCCTGGCTCTGCGTGGGCCTTGTTGGGCCTCCGGAAACAGGAGTTGTTGGCAGGAAACCACAGGCCACCCGTCACA
Organism: Homo sapiens; assembly: GCF_000001405.40. Classification (NCBI taxonomy): domain Eukaryota; kingdom Metazoa; phylum Chordata; class Mammalia; order Primates; family Hominidae; genus Homo; species Homo sapiens. The sequence goes on from NC_000017.11 coordinate 3,916,631, forward strand.
GGGGCAAAGATAAAGCTCTCAGTCGACTCCTCAAGTTATCCTCCCCCCAAAACCTGGCAAGATGGAGCTCTGGCCAGGGCCTGGGGGAAGCTGGAGTCTCCTCAGATTAGGGGACTCCCCGCGACTCCCCTCCACTGCCAAAATGAGACCTCCATCCCCAGCCCCATCCACCACCCTCCACCCTCCCCCACCAGGGTTGGCTGCTTCGTCCCTGGGGGTCTGCAGCGAGCAAGGCAGAGAGGAAGGAGGCTCTGAGTTCCAGCCTGGCCTGTGCCCGGTCAACCTCGGTGCTGAGCTGGCATCTCTATCCCCCAGCTCTCCTCTCCCACTGTCTGTCCTGCCGGGGCCACCATCAGAGGGAGAGAGGTGGCAGGTGCCCAGCCAAGACCAGCACCACATCCGTCACCAGTGCCATGGGGGGCCCAAGACCAGCCGAGAGAGCCTGACCTCGGAGATCCCTGGCTCTGCCACTTCTTGGCTGTGGGGGCTGGGTGTCACCTTGCCTCTCCGAGCCTGCTTCCTCATCTGTAAATTGGGGTAATAAGGGCTGTTCCTTCTAGGTCGAGGCTCACAGGGGATGGGTCTCAGCAACACGGGACAGAGAACTGGAGGCCACCATTGAGTCTGGGGCACAGCACCTCTGCAGTCCCTGCCTTCCCTTCCCACCCCCAGCTCGGGCCCTGAACACAGGGGTTTGGGGTGGGCAGAGGGTCCCACGTTGGCTCCTCAGAGCTGGAGGCCTCCCCAGCCCCACCCCTCGTTTTGAAGATGAGAAAACCAAGCTCAGAGAAGAGAAATGAGTTGCCCAAGCTCACCCGGGGTGGTACTGGAGGTTCAAGCTGGAAGCAGGGGCCTCCCTGGCGAGCCCCCACGGCCCTGTCGTCGGAGCCGCCCCACCCTTAAGGCTGATAAGGAGTCTTCTTGCTGGCGAGCCATGAGCTGGAAGTGCTCTGGGCAGGGAGCCAGGCCCTGGGGCTGGGAATCCCGGCAGCCTGTCTGAATGGGGGTCACCCACAGAGGGCTGCCCATGGCCCCTTCCAGCACCCAGGTCAGTCTCTCCTTGTCAAGTAGATCAGCCTCACCCCTCGCGGAGTTTCTGCTAATCCAGTGGGTGTCATGGGCTTTTCTAAAGAAAATCCAGAGATGCTGGGAGCCAGAACTGTGGTGGCCACGTCTCCCCTTGGCCTGACCTTGACCCTAGACAGTTCCTTTCCCAGCTGCCCCTGTGGCCATTGGAATGGGAGGCACCAGGACACAGCTGCTTGTGATGGGGAGTGGGGTGGGTGCTGAGACTGTGTGGGCCATTCTGGGTCCCTTTTCAGCCACCCTTCTCCCTGATATGCGTTCTAGAGAGTGGGTGGGGTGGGAGGGAACGGAGGGAGGAAGGGAGGGAGGGAGGGAAAAGGAAGGGAAGGGAAGGGAGGGAGAGAGGGAGGAGGAAAGGGAAGGGAAGGGAGGAAGGAGGGAGGAAGGGAGGGAGGGAGAAGGAAGGGAAGGAAGGGAGGGAAGGGAAGAGAGGGAGGGGAGGGAGGGAGGGGAGGGAGGGAGGGAAGGGAGGGAGGGAGGGAGGGAAGGAGTAAAGGAAAGAAGGAAGGGAGGGAGGGAGGAGAAAGGAAGGGAAGGGGAGGGAGGGAGGGAGGGAAGGAAAAAAGGAAGGAGGGAGGGAAGGAGGGAGGAAAGAAGAAGGAGGGAGGGAAAAAAGGGAGGGAGGAAGGAAGAGGGAGGGAGGGAGGAGAGAGGGAGGGAGGGAAGGAAGGAAGATCAGGAAGTTCTTCCTCTCACATCACCACCATGTCTTCTTCCTCCTCCTCCTCCTCCTCCTCCTCCTCCTCCTCCTCCTCCTCCAAGGAGCCACACTTGCTGACAGAGAGATTGACGGATGGACTGACAGACTTGCTTGGACAGATTGATGGACTGACAGAGCACACACACGTGATTCAGTTACAGCCTAGGCCCTGGCCCTGGCCCTGAGAAAGTGGACTGGCCTGGAGCACCGTCTCATTTGGGGATCTTATCATATCCACAGTGTACCCCAGGGACCTACATTTATTTTCCTGCTGCTGATAACTCCACAAGAGCAAGACAGCCAGCTGTCGGGGTCAATGTCTCTTTCACTGGCTCTAAAATGCATCTTTCTGATCCAAAGGCTGTGATTTCTCACCCTTGGGCCCTGCCCCAGCGTCCTCAGGGACAGACACCTGCCTTTGTTCTGGGTGTTTGGGGCTGAGGTGGGCAGGACAGAGGCCAGAGCTCCACCCTCTGGAGTCTGGCAGGGTTTTCCTCACAACAGGCCCATGAGGCAGGTCCTAGAGCCCACATCTGACAGATCAGGAGACTGAGGCTGTGGGGATTGAGTCCCTGGCCCATGGTCACACAGTGAGTAGTTCCCATGTCTGCTGGTGGCTGAGAAGGAGGCTCCCCAAAGTCTGAGGGCTTGGCCCCGGGCCCACTCGAAGCCTCCAGCACTTGAGAGCCGCCAGTCCTGCCTTATAAGCCCAAAGACCGGGTGGCCGACTCGGGTACTGGGCCGGGCCTTGTAGGGAGACAGCCCTGCTGCCAAGCACTCGGCCCCGGGACAGCCTCCCCGGCCTGGCTAAATTTAGCGGCTCTGTGCAGCGTGGAGGCTGGAGGCCGGCTGGAGCCCTCGAGGGAGCAGACACGGGTTCCAACAGGTCTCCTTAGTCACTCAGGGGCCCGAGGATGCCGCAACCATACCCCAGTCAAACCGTGATGCCATCTGGGCCAGAGATTCCTCTAATGCCACATAGCCCCTTAGACCCTGACTGGAGCAGGGCCCTGGGCCAGCCTGGCAGAGGCTGTCAAGGGGAGGTTGGGGGAGGGCCGACAGCTACGGGGAGGCCTGGGGAGTACAGCGTGGGCCCCCATGTTTGGCGTCTCCCATTGCCTGGACCCGGGCTGCTTCTCAGGCCTCTTCTATCCCCCAACTCTGGGTGTGACCTGGCCGAAGCCCCCCTCCCGTGTGTTTAAAATGTCCCACCCTCCTGGTCCTCCTCCATCCCTCTGGGCCATTTCCCTTCATCCTCGGCCTCTCTCTGCCCTGGATTAAGAGAACTCCTGGGAGGCCAGGGCTGGTGGCTCGTGTCTGTAATCTCCGCACTTCGGGAGGCTGAGGCAGGAGGATTGCTTGAGCCCAGGAGTTCGAGACCAGCCTGGGCAACATAGGGAAATCCTGTCTCTACAAAATATACAGAAAAAAAAATTAGGCGGGCATGGTGGAGCATGCTTATAGCCCATAGCTGCCTGGGAGGCCGAGGCGGGCAGACCACCTGAGGTCAGGAGTTCAAGACTGGCCTGGCCAACATGGTGAAACCCCATCTCTACTAAAAAGACAAAAATTAGCTGGGAGTGGTGGCGGGAGCCTGTAATCCCAGCTATTAGGGAGGCTGAGGCAGGAGAATTACTTGAACCCAGGACAGGGAGATTGTAGTGAGCCGAAATCGAGCCACTGCATTCCAGCGTGGGGGATAAAGTGAAACTCAGTCTCAAAAAACAAAACAAAACAAAACAGAAAAAAAATTAGCTGAGCATGGTGGTGTATGCCCATAGTCCCAGCTACTTGGGAGGCTGAGGTGGGAGGATCTCCTGAGCCTGAAAGGTGGAGGCTGCAGCAAGCCGTGATCATGCTACTGCACTCCAGCCTGGGTGACACAGCGAGAGCCTGTCTCAAAATAATACATTAATTAAATAAAAATAAAGAGGACTCCTGGGGGCTGGGCTGGGCCCTGCCCCTCAAACACCCAGTGCTGAGCACTCAGGTGGGAGACCTGCCCCCGCCCACCGCCAGCTCCCAATCCTGCTGACACCTCTACACCAGCATGGTGGCCACATCCACCTCCTCTCTGGCACTCACCTCTTTTTTTCTGTTTCTTTTTCTTTTTTTCTTTTCTTTTCTTTCTTTCTTTTTTTTTTTTTTTTTTTTTGAGGTGGAGTCTCACTCTTGTCATCCAGGCTGGAATGCAGTGACATGATCTTGGCTCACTGCAACCTCTGCCTCCTGGGTTCAAGTGATTCTCCTGCCTCAGCCTCCGGAGTAGCTGGGATTACAGGCACCCGCCACCACACCTGGCTAATTTTTGTATTTTTAGTAGAGACCAGGTTTCACCATGTTGGCCAAGCTGGTCTCGAACTCCTGACCTCGTGATCCGCCCGCCTCGGCCTCCCAAAGTGCTGGGATTACAGGCGTGAGCCACAATGCCCAGCCTTTTTTTTTTTTTTTCTTTAAATCCAACTGTCTTGGGGTGTAATTCGCATACAATAAAACGCACCCATTTTAAGCACATGGTTTGATGAGTTTTGACAAATGCACCAGCCCCCTCCAAATCCATCAGCCTAGAACACTCCCGCCTCCCGTTTGTGGTCCATCTTTCCTCAGCACCCCCAGGCCCAGGCAATCACTGACCCGCTCTGTCACTGCAGATTTGTGCAGTCTCGTCCAGAGCGTTAGGGAGGTGGAATCAGGCAGGAGGAGCTCCTTCGCGTCTGGCCGCCTTTGCTCAGCCCAGCGGTTTAGGCTTCGGGTGGCAGTTGCGTGCATCAGTGGTTGGTTCCTCTCGGTTGCGTGGACGTACTGCAGCTTGCTTATCCTTCATCTGTTCATGGATATCTGAGGCCTGTGCTGGGTGAAGCCGCTGTGGACACTCGGGGGCCTTTGTGCGCATGTCCAGCTTCCCTTCTCCTCCCTGCTGTGATTTTGTGCCTCCATTTCTCCTAACACAGCCCCACCGGGGTCCCTCCCACCACTGTGAGGACTGGAGCGTGGGGTCTGGGGAGCACAGAGTCCTGGTCTCTGGAGGGGCAGGGTCCCCAGGAGGGTTTTGGTAGTTGCCAGTTAGAAGCGTGCCAGGGCTTGCCCCGGAATTCCCTCCTGGGTGACCAGCTGTGAGGTAAGGAGACCTCTGTTTACCTTGGCCGCCCCATCCTGGCCCGTCGGCTCCGTGCTGTGGGCTGGACGGAGCTGGACTCAGGCCGGCCTGGGCGGGGGTGGAGGCAGCGTGGCTGGGAAGCCTGGAGCCGACCGCCTTGTCCGCAGGACCCCCAGCCCATCTGAGCCTCACAGCCTGCCTGGCCCCCGTGATGCAAGCTAGATGCTCAGATCGTCAGAGGGCCTTGGGGAAGGCATGGCCCGCCCATTCTGGGCCTCGGGCTCCTCATCCGTAAATGGAGCCCTAGCCCTTGCCTGGCCCATCTCCCAGGGCTGGCTGAAGACACCGGGAGATGAAGTGTATGAGAAGGTCCTGTGGTATGAGAGGTCTTACGGGTGGACCATGTGGAGGGAGGCGCCTTCTGCCTACCCTGCTCCTGCTGTGAGCTCGGCGCCAACCCCAGGCCCCCTGCTAAGGAACCTGGGAGCTCCTGGGTTGGGGGTGGGGGTGCTGCCTCCACCGACAAGCTGGCATCATGGACGTGTGATCCAAGTACCTGCACCAGGCCCCGGGCTCAAAAACGCTCTGTGCTGGGGCCATTTTCCCTCATTCCCGGCCTCTCTCTGCCCTGGATTAAGAACTCCTGGGGGCTGGCCCTGCCCCCAAACACTGAGCACTCCTCTCCAGTCCTGAGGGTTCTGACACCACCACACCAACATGCCAGCCATGTGCCCACCCACCTCTTCTGTGGCTACCTCTTTTTTTCCCTTTTAAGTCAAACTGTACTGCAGTGTAATTCACAAACAATAAAATGCACCCATTTTAAGCACACGGTTTGGTGAATTTTAATGTTCTTTTTTTTTTCTTTTTTTTTGAGACAGAGTCTCTCTCTGTCACCCAGGCTGGAGTGCAATGATGTGATCTCGGCTCACTGCAACCTCCGCCTCCTGGGTTCAAGCGATTCTCCTGCCTCAGCCTTCTGAGTAGCTGGGACTACAGGTGCCCGCCACCACGCCTGGCTAATTTGTGTATTTTTAGTAGAGGCGGGGTTTTGCCATGTTGGCCAGGCTGGTCTCGAACTCCTGACCTCAAGTCATTCACCTGCCTCGGCCTCCCAAAGTGCTGGGATTACAGGCATGAGCCACCACGTCCGGCCATCATATTGAATGTTCTTCTGTCTTTGTAATTCTTGTCATTTTTGGTCAAAGGGTTCCAGGTTTTCATTTTGCAATGGGCCCTGCAAATTATGTAGACAATCCTGCCTCTGGCCCTGTGGGCAGGGCCTGCGTCTCCTTCCCAGGATAGCTGAGTGAAGGATTAGATACTAAGCCTTCATGATGGGTTTTGGTGAAACGAGGGCCATGGCGACTCCCTTCCCTGAGCCCCGGCTTCCAGGAAGGTAGGGCCACCTGTGCGAGCCGGCTCACCCCAGGCAGCCTCGCAGAGGTCCCTGGGTATTGTGAGCTGAGGGAAGCCCTGGGGAGGTGGTAGGTGTGAGGTGCATTTGAGCTGGGCTTGGAAGGGCCAAAGGTGGATGGGATCCTGGGATTTGAGGAGGAGAGGGAGATAGAGCAGGAGAGCTGTAGGACCTACAGAAGAGCTGGGGTTGAGGCTCCTCTGTGGGATGCAAGGGGCCCCTGAGATTCAGGCTCCGGGCCCAGCCCTGCCCCAGGCCCAATCATGGAACTCTCCCAGGCTGTTTCCTCAGGGGGTGACATGCAGATCATAAAATGCATAAAAGGGGCTGGGCGAGGTGGCTCACACCTGTCATCCCGGCACCTTGGAAGGCCGAGCAAGGTAGGCGGATCACCTGAGGTCAGGAGTTTGAGACCAGCCTGGCCAACGTGGTGAAACCCCATCTCTACTAAAAATACAAAAATTATCTGGCTGTGGTGGCGCATGCCCTCCCAGCTACCCTTCAAGCTGAGGCAGCTACTCGGGAGGTGGAGGTTGCAGTGAACCTAGATCGCACCACTGCACTCCAGCCTGGGTGGCAGAGCGAGACTCTGTCTCAAATAAATACATAAATAAACAAATAAAATAAAATGCACAAAAGGCCTTGAACTCGTGCACAAATTGTCAACACCGTCCCTGTGAGGAGCGAGCATCCCAAGCTGGGAGGCTCTGCGGGCGCTGCACCTGCCACTCGAGTGTGGCTCTCCAGAGCCTTGTCTTGGGGGCCAAGGGAGCAATCCTGGTGATGTGTGAACCCCAGACCTTTGCTCAGCGTTTCCTGGACTGGGTGTGGGCAGGTGGTATGGGCAGGTGGTATGGGCAGGTGGTAGGGCCCCAGGCAGACGCCCCATAGGTGGAGACGGCGGGACCACTCCCCAGGAAAACAGACGCTGAGGATCCTCCGTTCCCCCAGTCACACAACCTTTATTTCTCTACCAAACAGCAGGTCAGCAGGTGGGTACAGGGCCCGCTCCTGCTAAGACCTCCCCACCTCCCCCCAGGAAAGAAGCAGAGAATCTCTGCAGGCACCAGACTCCCTGCCTCCCCCACTGCGTTTCTCTCACTGGCCGCCCAGAACCTGTGAGAGGGAGGAGGGGTGAGGCGTAGGGGAGGGGGCTACAGAACATGGAGCCCATTGGTCTGCAAGGCAGGCTGAGGGGCTTTGGATGTGGGGGACTAGGAAAGGGATGTGAGTCTTGATTTACATATAAAATCATCAGTCTGCACACGCTCTAGGAGTGGCCAAGACATAGGGACAATCCTTGGTGCAGGTTTCTGCTACCCCTCGCTAGTTTTTGCCAAAGTAGCAAAAGCTGAGTTAAGAGAAAAATTCTGTCCATCAGAGGCCATCTTCCTCTCATCTGATATGACGTGTTCCTCCAGCAGGGAGGGAGGGAGAGCGGGTGCCCTTGGGGAATCAGCCATCCTTAGTGACATCCTTTCGGCTCATGGGTGTCGTGGGGAGGGGGCAAGGAGTGAGGCCAAGAGTCCAGGAAGCCCACCAGGCTCAGAGGCCCCCAGCTGTGCAGACAGCGCGGCGGCCGCACACTGGGCTGGGTAGAAGGGCGCCACGGTCAGGAACCTGAGGATGTCGGTGGTCTCAGGTACCAGGGACGCGGGTGGCAAGTTGGACCTCTGCGTGGCAGACCGGGCGGCAGTGTGACTCTGAACATCTCCCGAGCTCAGGACGGGGAACCCTGAGTCCAGGAGGCGCGCGGGGCTGAGGCAGTCCAGCCAGGCTTTCCCGACTTGTCTCCCGGGAAAGGACATCCTCGCTCCGCCCTCCTGCCGGCTCCTTGTGTCCGTCTCTCTGACCCTTCACCCGCCCGGGCCCTGCACATATAAACAGAAGCAGCCTCGAGCTCTCGGGAGCCGACTTTGTGGAAGCAGAGTGGAGTGGAGGGGGCTGCCCACCCTCGCTGTACACAGCTGGGCCCAGATGGCCCCTTCTGATCCCCCAGGGCTGACCCAGTCCCAGACCAGGCACGAAGAGAGAGGTCAGAGCCGGTAAGAAGGACCCCCAGAGTCCTCCGTCAGTGCAGAGGCACCAGTCACCAAGTGAACGTCCAGCTTCCGAACAAGGGGGAGCAAGCTCCAGCTGCACTCGTGATTTGGGGGTGGGGGGGCCCCGGATCTCTGGGTATGCTGCCAGCTCCGGCTTCTTGGCTGCCCCCTCCCAGCCTGCAGCTCCTGGGCCAGAGCTGCAGAGCAGGGAACTTCCCAGGAGAGTCCAGGAGACAGGAATTACAGACCTCCCAGGCCAGAAGGAAGTGGGGACAGAGACCCCAGGACGGGGCCCGGGGATGGCCATTCTGACCTCGGGCCTGTCATTTATCCGGCGGGACCCGGTGGGCAAGTGGGCGAGTGTGGTGGCAAGGGTGGGGGGCGGAGGCGAACACATGGGCACCATCAGTCTGAGGTACACACCGGAGACTCCACTCTGTTCCCAGCGCTCACTTCTGGCTCATTTCTTCTGGAAGAAAAACCCAAGAGCGCGTTAAGATGTATGTGTAAGGGCACACATCCAGACAGCTTCCTTCCAGCCCCTTCCATCCTCCACTTCTCCCAGGACAGCCCCAGGCTCCCAAGGCCTCCCTTAGTCCAGACCTCAGTCTACCCCAGCCCCACCGGACCCCCCAAGCTGCATCCAGGATCCATCCCCGCAACGTCCCCCACGCCTCCTTCACTCCACTGTTCCATCAGCACCCCCAAACCCTCCAGTACATACTCTCCTGGTTTTCATTTTGGGGAATCACCACCCATTATCGTAAGGTTCAGACACCAGGCTCATCCTTGCTTCTCTTGCCCATCACACACACCCAGGCCTGATTTCACCCAAATTGCGAGAGCTCATCTCTCCCACTGCCTTCCCCAACCAGGCCTCAAGGCCTCAAGGCCTGCCGCCCTGCCCCCAGCCCCAGTCTTACCGTCCCATCATACTTCTGCCCCTAGCATCAAGCAAAAGCCGAAATCCAGTCCCAACACCCCATTTCATGGTTCCTCACTGTCCTCAGAGTAAAGTCTAAGCCCGCCTGTAACCTCCCAGATCTGTCCCCAATACAACCACCACAGCCCAGCCCCCACGCCTCCCCTGACAACTGCTCAGCCACACCTGGGCAGAGCCAGGAGGTGGGGTGAGAGGACCGCCCCCAGCCCCCAGGGCTGACCCAGGATCCAGAATTCTCCCCAGGACACATCCCTCGTAAATGACATAAATCACGGGGAAGCCACAAGCATCAGGCTTCAGAAAAACTTCCCTAAAAGGCCACCCAGCTGGCTTGGGAGCGCAAAGGGTCCCTCTCTCACCCCCGCCCCGTCTGGCTTTAGGAGGCCCCAGGGACTGCAGTAGCGCTGGGCAGGGCTGTCTGGGCTTCCAGTGAGCACATTCCTCGGGGTGCCTCCACCCCACCCCTCAGATGGAGCCGCAGGTACCCAGCCTGTGTCTGTCCTCCAGCAGCCAGGCACCACCTTTCCAAGCCAAACTTCACAGGGACCACCGTCAACATCTCAAGGAGGTGGAGGTGGAGGTGCTTTCTGGGGCCAGCTCCCCAGATCTGTTCAATGCCGCTCGCCCACCTCCTGGTGTTAGTCTCACCCTCTCTTTTTGGGGGAGAGTGGGGGAACAGAGTTTTGCTCTGTCACCCAGGCTGGAGTGCAGTAGCTCAATCTCAGCTCACTGCAACCTCCACCTCCCAGGTTCAAGTGATTCTCCTGCCTCAGCCTCCCGAGTAGCTGGGATTATAGGCACCTGCCACCACGCCCAGCTAATTTTTGTATCTTTAGTAGAGATGGGGTTTCACCATGTTGGCCAGGCTGGTCTCTAACTCCTGACTCAGGTGATCTGCCCACCTCGGCCTCCCAAAGTGCTGGGATGACAGGTGTGAGCCACTGCACCCGGCCCGTTAGTCTCACCCCCTCTTGCCTGTCCTCCATGGTTGACACAGTCCGCACCGTGCTTACACTCCTCCCGTGCTTCCCCACTGCCCTGAGGACAATGTCCAGGGTCTCTACCTTGGCACTCAAGGCCCTTGCCCCTGCCGGGCCTCACCCCTCTGCCCTGCATGCTGAGTGTCAACATCTGTGCTCACCCAGCCCTGTTCCACCAGGTTCAATCCTGTTCTTTCCAACCACTGCTTTAACCTCAAAGCCTGGAGAAACTCCCCCTCACTCCTGGCCCAGCAGGAATCTCTCCCTCCCAGCCCTCCTAGCCTGTCCCCTCCCGCTAGGACCCTCCCGCTCTTTAGGCCTGGGGAATCCTCCACCATCCAGCAGCCAATGCTGAAAGGCATCTGAGACACAGGCTTTTCCGTGCTGGCTGAGACATTTTAGCCATGGGCATAATTTTCTCACTTTTAAGTTTTCTCAAGAAAATCTGCTGAGCTCCTAGGCAGTTGTGGCCATTTGGGAACTCTCCCGAGGAAGACAAGCCACCTGAGCTGTCATGTCCCCAGAGGCCTGGCTCTGCAGGTGAGTGAGTGTGGTCAAGGACGGCCCAGAGGCCTGGCTGTGCAGGTGAGTGAGTGTGGTCAAGGGCGGCTGGAGGATTTCCTGGCGGACCGGCCCGGTGCTCCGGCCAGTGCAGGGATGCCTTGGGCCCCCATGGATGGGAGTTTCCAGTGTCTCCCCAGGGCTGTCACAGAGCATTGGCCAGAAAGAACCAGACAGGGGGCAGAATGGCCTTGCTCAGCTCCCCCCACCCCCACCCATTGGCCCCAGCAGGCTTGCCTTGGCTGAGTGCCCACCTGCACCCTCGAGTGAGCCCCTACATGTGTCTGGCCACTCCCTGGACAGGCCAGCTCCCTTGCTCAGCCCCTAGGGAATGACAGACGCGTGATCTATTTATAGTCCCTCCACCCACTCCCCTGGGGCACATTCCTGCCAGAGGTGGCCCCCAACGACCCAGCTGCCCCAGTGCAGGCCTCAGCCACTGCCCAGCCCAACCTAGGCCCCTGCACAGCAGTCCAGCCATACGGCCACCGCCTCTGCGCAAATTCCCAGGAACCGGAGCTCACCCCTGCTTCCTCCCTCTCTGAGCAGCTCTGACAGCGAGACGATGCTGTGTCCCTGGCCCTTGGAAGTTCAGAATCACCCACTCTCAGAGCCCACCTGGCAGAGGCAGGTGGATGGACCCCATGTCCCAGCCCACTTCTCTCCAGCCCGACACCTGCCATCCTGTCCTCTCCACTCCGGGGTTAAGGCAGACCCAGAGCTGTGAGCTCAGAAACAACCCTCCCCTTGACCCACCCACAAGGTGATACCAAAGAGGCCAACCCGGTGTGGTCTGGGGTCCAAGAGGTGGTCAGCGGCTGCCTACTCCAGGCCTGCGAGACTGTCCTGAGAAGGCCTGGATAAAGACAGGCTGGGTGCAGAGGGGTCAGAGGCTGAGGCCCAGAAGAGCACACAGTGCCCTGGCCATGTAGGGGGTGGCAGGTGAAGACAGTGAGGCAGTGTGGCCCAAGAGGTGCTCCCGTTGCTGGCCCAGTGAGCCCAGGTCCCCTGCAGTGCAAGACCCTGCGGACACCTTGGGACCCAGCCACCAGAGCCCCTTCACACCCTCCACTTGGTGATCCGAGAACGCCTCCCCGATGTGCAGACAGAGAGGCTCTGCGCTCCACACCCACAGCGTCCACTGCAGCCCAGGAGCAGAGGCGGGCGGGGAGGCAGGCTGGAGGCGGGACGGGGCCTCCCACTCACCGTGCATGTGGTTCCGGGACAGGTACTTGAGGGCCTCATCCAGCAGGATGACAGGCAGAGATATCTGGAGCACCACCACCCACTGGCGCCCGCTCAGTGGGGTCACCTGGAAAATGAGCTGGCGGGGAGGGGAAGGGAGGTTTGGTTAAAGGAAGGACTGGCTGTCCCGTGCCCCAGCCATCTGCTGGCCTTATCCACCTGGGCTCTGATGGACTCTTCATGAGCGCTCCTAAGAACCCCCTGGATGCACCCCCGATCTTTGTCCACTCAGCTGCACCCCCCGATCTTTGTCTGTTCAGCTGCACCCCCCAATCTTTGTCCGCTCAGCTTCCTCTGCCTCAAGGGCCCACCTCTGCCCTTGCCCACTGGGTCAACTCCCATCCATCCTGTTGGGAGGCGGGAGGATTCTGCCCTGGGAAAGCTCGTCCTTCCTCCCACCCCAGCCTGGGCACAGTCCCCTCAGCAAGGGGTTTCCCCCTCTTCCGTCCCCCAGGTCTGGGAGCTCCTGAAGGTGGGGCCACAGCTGGAGGTGGTGGCTGGCCAGACCTCTCACCTCCCTCTCCTCCAGGTAGTTTCCATTGCAGGGGGGCCAGAGAGGTCCAGTGACCAGCCCAGGGCCTGTGATGTCCAGGGACCAGGGCAGTGGGGCAGGCGGGGTGACTCACAGGCAGGGGCGGCACGAGCAGGATGAGGAAGTGCAGGGCCATGGACATGGCCACAGCCACCAGCAGCCAGGGGTTCATCCAGGGCGGCATCCGCAGCAGCGACTGGTTCTCCGAGACGCTGCCAGGGCACAGGGTGCTCCCCTTAGGCCGGGGTGCAGGGAGGCCCTGCCAGGCACCCACCCCCATGGGAGGAGCCTCACCACTTCTCTAGCGGTGCATTGCTGTTGCCCGCTCGGCCTGCCAGGGCCTGTCCCGGGCTGGGACCCCTTTCTCTGCCCCTCAGACCTAATCTTGGCCGATTTCTTTGGACCCCAGTTTCAGCCTTCTTTGTCTCCTGGGCCCCAATTCCGGTCCCCATGAACTCTCAGAATCCTCTCTGGGCCCCTTTGACCCTTAGGCCCCAATCCAGATCCCCAAATCTTTGGATCCCAATCTTGGACCCCCACTGACCCCCAGACCCTAATCCTGGACCCCGCTTGGCCCCAGACCTTTGTTCTGGACCCCTCTAACTCCCAGACCTCAGTCCTGGACTCCCCTGACCCCTGGAACCCAATCCTGGACCCTTGACCCTCTGATCCCAATCCTGAACCCCCCAAACATCAGACCCCAACCTGAACCCCTTGACCCCAGACCCCAATCCTGGACCTCTCTTGACCCCTAGACCCCAGTCTGGGATGCTCTTGACCTCTGGACCCCAATCCTGGACCCCCTTGAACCTCTGATCCCAATCCTGAACCCCCCAAACATCAGACCCCAATCTTGGACCCTCTTGACCCACAGACCCCAATCCTGGACCCCTGACCCTCAGACACTGATACTGGAACCCCCAGCCCTCAGCCCCCACTCCTCGGCCCCAGCTCCAGGCCCTGCGCCCAGCCCACCTGGACCCCTGACCCTCAGACACTGATACTGGAACCCCCAGCCCTCAGCCCCCACTCCTCGGCCCCAGCTCCAGGCCCTGCGCCCAGCCTACCTGTTGAGGGCATTGCACATTTCAATGGTCACGAGCACGGACAAGGCCATGGTGGTGGGGAAGCGTGACTCGAACACCTCACAGTCGATGCCGGCAAAGAGCGGGTTGTCTTCGGAGCACTTCAGGAAGTTCCTCTGGGGGCACCGTGGCAGGTCAGAGAGAGCGGCAGGTCAGGCGAGGGGCTGGTGGGTGGGAGGAGGGAAGCCTCATCCTGCCCTTGGCCCACGCCTGGGCACAACCAGCACACAAAACACTGCCGTGGGGTGGGCTGGGGATCCCGGGAGGGGTGCGGGGTCGGGGCGGCGGTGGGGAGAGCTGCACCGTGCCAGGGAGAAGCAAGGGCACAGCGTGGGAAAGGCAGACGTTCTGGAGCAGGAGTGCAGCGGCTCAGAAGGAGAACAGCTGGCATTAGCCTGGGGAGGCTAGCGGGAGCCTGGAGATCACTGAATAGGGAAATGCATGTGAAAATCAACCAACAAAACCATGCGGGAGTGGAATTCACCTTTGCGGTATAGAAGATGAAGGCTACGCAGGCCCTGTTCACTGTTATTAAGATTCCATTTACAGCTGGGCGTGGTGGCTCATGCCTGTCATCCCAGGGAGGCGGAGGCGGGTGGATCACCTGAGGTCAGGAGTTTGGGACCAGCCTGGCTAACATGGTGAAACCCCGTCTCTACTAAAAATACAAAAATTAGCCTGCGTGGTGGTGCGTGCCTGTAATCCCAGCTACTCGGGAGGCTGAGGCAGGACAATCACTTGAACCCGGGGGTCAGAGGTTGTAGTGAGCAGAGATCGCGTCACTGCACTCCAGCCTGGGTGACAGAGCAAGACTCTGTCTCAAAAAAAAAAAAAAATTCCATTTACACCTCATACCTCACTCCATTTCTGCCACTGAAACTGAACTCTATCAGATCTGATGTGTGCTTCTGACAGAGACTAATGAATTGCCAAGGTGCAGCTGTAACAGGTAGCTTCTCTGTAATTAACATGAAGCGCTCAGGGCTGATAACCCCTATAGCCTCAGGGGAGTTTTCTTACTGCTCAAAAACCTTGTTCACAGAATCGTGCTAAGAGGCTGAACGGAGGGTATTGGGGGAACTTGTCTTGTTCTCTTCCATATTATAGGGATGAGGGTGAATGTTTCCAACCGTTAACCAGCTTAGTTCACCAAAAATATAGATCCTGCTCTTGGGAGTCTAATCTGAACATGGAGATCTTTTTTCTTTTTTTTTTTTTTTTGAAACAGAGTCTCGCTCTGTCACCCGAGCTGGAGTGCAGTGGCATGATCTCGGCTCACTGCAAGCTCCGCCTCCCGGGTTCACGCCATTCTCCTGCCTCAGCCTCCCAAGTAGCTGGGACTACAGGCGCCCGCCACCACGCCCGGCTAATTTTTTGTATTTTTAGTGGAGACGGGGTTTCACCGTGTTAGCCAGGATGGTCTAGAACTCCTGACCTCGTGATCCGCCCGCCTTGGCCTCCCAAAGTGCTGGGATTACAGGCGTGAGCCACCGCGCCCGGCCATGGAGATCTTTTAAATTAGAAATTGGGGCCATGTGCTGTGAACATAATCCTCAAAGAAAAACGTGTAAAATGCCCGGCTGTCTGATCTACTGTCTGTCGCATAAATACATCCGTTTTCCCACACTGCACAAATGCAGATAAGGCCACTCTGAGTATCGTTTCTCCTCTCTCGTGCAGGAAGAGAAATAAGCCTGGCTAGATATTTTAACAAAGAGATAGAGAATCTGATAATCTCTTAAATCGATAGTGGACGTTTTCTCCAAAACTCAAGCTCCAGCATTTGAGGCAAGTGGATATGTCTTGTTTTCTTTTTATTTTGTTTTGTTTTGTTTTTGTTTTCGAGACTGAGTCTCACTCTGTCACCGAGGCTGGAGTGCAGTGGCGTGATCTTGGCTCACTGCAACCTCCATCTCCCAAGTTCGAGCGATTCTTCTGCCTCAGCCTCCTGAGTAGCTGGGACTACAGGCACCCGCCACCACCCGTGGCTAATTTTTGTGTTTGTAGTAGAGACGGGGTTTCATCATATTGGCTAGGCTGGTCTCGATCTCCTGACCTCAAGTGATCCACCCGCCTCGGCCTCCCAAAGTGCTGGGCTTACAGGCGTGAGCCACTGTGCCTGGCCTTGTTTTGTTTTTGAGACAAGGTCTCACTCCCATCACCCAGGCTGGAGTGCAGTGGCACGATCTCAGCTCACTGTAGCCTCGACTTCCTGGGCTCAGGTGATTGTCCCACCGCAGCCTCCCAAGTAGCTGAGACTCCAGGCCTGAGCCGTCACTGTTGGCTAAGTTTTGTCTTTTTTGTAGAGACGGGGTTTCGCCATGTTGTCCAGGCTGCTCTCAAATTCCTGGGCTCAAGTGATCTGCCCGCCTTGGCATCCCAGAGTGCTGGGATTATAGGCGTGAGCAGCCACACGTTTCTATTTGGTGCTGATCATAGAGAAGGGAAAACCTCCAGAACTTTGAACCTGACTCTACCCACCCAGTGACCGAGAGGACCAAATCCTCCTGCCAATTGTGCCACTGTTGTCGGGCCTCACCCTGCCAGATCTTAATGGCCTATCCATACATGTACACACAAACATAGGGACACACACCTCCCACTCGGGCATGTGAATGCTTAAGACGCTTATGCGTCTACACAGAGAAGAAAATACCAACAAGATCATGTCAGGATGTTTCGGCCGGGCACGGTGGCTCACGCCTGTATTCCCAGCACTTTGGGAGGCCAAGGCGGGCAGATCACCTGAGGTCAGGAGTTCGAGACCAGCCTGGCCAACATGGTGAAACTCCATCTCTACAAAAATACAAAAATTAGCCAGGCATGATGGCGGGTGCCTGTAATCCCAGCTACTCGGGAGGCTGAGGCAGGAGAATCGCTTGAACCCGGGAGGCGGAGGTTGCAGTGAGCTGAGATCGCGCCACTGCACTCCAGCCTGGGTGACAGAGCGAGACTCTGTCTCAAATAAATAAATAAATAAATATGTTTCAATGGGTCTGTTGCTCTTGCTGTAAATGCCCTGCCCAGTGCAGACCTTCTGGGTTTCACCAGCAAGCACCTGCCACACACACACAGTATTCCCCAGGTCATAGGTCTCGGTGTGGCCTCTGGAATTATTCATTAGAAGGTGCGCTGGGGTCCGGGTGCCGTGGCTCACGCCTGTGATCCCAGCACTTTGGGAGGCTGAGGCGGGCGGATCATGAGGTCAGGAGATCGAGACCATCCTGGCCAACATGGTGAAACCCTGTCTCTACTAAAATACAAAAAATTAGCCGGGCATGGTGGTGGGCGCCTGTAGTCCCAGCTAATGGGGAGGCTGAGGCAGGGGAATCACTTGAACCCGGGAGGTGGAGGTTGCAGTGAGCCAAGATTGCACCACTGCACTCCAGCCTGGGTGACAGAGCGAGACTCCATCTCAAACAAACAAACAAAAAAAGACAGTGCGTCGGGCTGGAGCTTCTGCCTCACAGGCACATGGGGAAGCCCTGGAGGAGCCCATTTCTACTGGTGAGGCCACTGCTGTGCCCACTCCTTCCCTTTGCCTGCCTGCCTATGTCCTATTCCCTGTGTCCTGCAAGACCCCCTTTGGTTTGGTTTTCTTTTCTTTTCTTTTTTTCTTTTTTGAGACTGCGTCTTGCTCTGTCTCCCAGGCTCGAGTGCAGTGGTGCGATCTCAGCTCACTGCAACTTCCGCCTCTCGGGTTCAAGCGATTCTCCTGCCTCAGCCTCCCGAGTAGCTGGGAAAACAGGCATCCGCCACCACACCTGGGTAATTTTTGTATTTTTAGTAGAGACAGGGTTTCACCATGTTGGTCAGGCTGGTCTTGAACTCCTGACCTCAAGTGATCCGCCCACCTCGGCTTCCCAAAGTGCTGGGATTACAGGCGTGAGCCACCGCGGCAGGATGTGTTCTTTTTTTTTCTAGAGACAGGGTCTTACTCTGTCACCAAGGCTGAAGTGCAGTGGTGTGATCACGGCTCAGTTCAGCTGTGACCTCCTGGACTCAACTGATCCTCCCACCTCAGCCTCCCAAGAAGCTACAGGCACACATCACCGTGCCTGGTTCATTTTTATTTTTATTTGGTAGAGATGGGGTCTCACTGTATTGCCCAGGCTGGTCTCAAACTCCTGGGCTCAAGTACTTTGGCCTCCCAAAGTACTAGGATTACAGGCGTCAGCCACCATGCCCAGCCTCCCCTCGATTCTTTTTTTTTTTTTTTTCTTGAGATGGAGTCTTGCTCTGTCACCCAGGCTGGAGTGCAGTGGTATGATCTTGGCACACTGCAACCGCTGCCTCCCAGGTTCATGTGATTCAACTGCCTCAGCCTCCTGAGTAGCTGGGATTACAGGCGTGCACCACCACGCCCAGCTAATGTTTGTATTTTTAATAGAGACGGGGTTTCACCTCGTTGGACGGCTGGTCTCGAACTCCTGACCTCAGGTGGTCCACCCACCTCGGCCTCCCAAAGTGCTGGGATTACAGGCGTGAACCACCGTGCCCAGCCCTCCCCTCCATTCTTGATCTCCTCAGTTTGACCCTCTGCCTAAAGTCCCACCATTTAGGGGCTCATTCCTCTGAGGCCTCAACGTTTTAGGGGTCCCTTGACAAAGGTAAGATACATCTGGCAGTGAGGCCTCTTGGTCCCCGCTAACTGACTGGGATGGGGAGGCGCCTTTGGCTTGGGGGTCCGTGCTGGTGTCTCTGGGTTTCCCGTGGGCTCTGAGCTCGGCTCCCCAGGTGGGGATGTTTATTCGTGTATAGCGAGTGGGGAAGGACACTGCAGGCCACCCATGCGGCTCTAGACCCATCTCCCCTGGAACTCCAACAACTCGAGCTGTAAGTTCAACAGGCTCCCTGGCCAGCCCTTGCTCACCAGCTGGTAGAAGTTGATGTGAGGTCCCTCGGCGTCATACACAAACCACCAGGTGGCGGCAGCCACTGTGGCCAGGCCTACGTACACTGCGGGGAAGGGAGGAGACCGGCTGTAGAGAATGGCGGTGGTTTTCTGGCGTCTGTTTCCCCTGCCTAATAATTCCCTGAATTCCCTGCAGGGAGCCACCCTTTTCCTCTCTCAGCCCTGTGGTTTGCAGGCACCTCCCCTCGATGCCAGTGGTGGGCCCTGGCTGGTCAATCAGCATCTGCCATACCCTTGGCCCCAGTGCTTGGAGATGAGCAGGTGAACCCTATGTGGGCCAATGAGAACAGGCCTGTTGAGACTTTTTTTTTTTTTTTTTTTTGAGACGGAGTCTCACTCTGTCGCCCAGGCTGGAGTGCAATGGTGCCATCTCGGCTCACAGCAACCTCTGCCTCCTGGGTTCAAGCGATTCTCCTGCCTCAGTCTCCCGAGTAGGTGGGATTACAGGCACCTGCCATCATGCCCAGCTAATTTTTGTATTTTTAGTAGAGATGGGGTTTCACCACGTTGGCCAGGCTGGTCTCAAACTCCTGACCTCAGGTGATCTGCCTGCCTCGGCCTCCCAAAGTGCTGGGGTTACAGGTGTGAGCCACATGTTGGCCAGGCTGGTCAAACTCCAGACCTCAAGTGATCTGCCCACCTCGGCCTCCCACAATGCTGGGGTTACAAGTGTGAGCCACCATGCCCAGCCCAGGCCTGAGATTCTTATCATACTACCGGGAGAGCAGCATGATAAAAGACTCTCTCTTCTGCTGAATTTGGGGTTGTAATGGAGTGAGCAGAGGGCTGGGGCTGCAGCAGCCATTCTGCCACCATGAGGGACGTGGGCCTGAGAATGAAGCTGAGGCAGTGCCAAAATATGCCAGTGATACTGAGACCCAGATCCCGCCATGCCTGGTCTTTTCCATTACATGAGCTCATACAGTTTCTACTGGCACAAGCCAGGCTGAGTCACACTGTCTGCAGCTTGCAAGCCTGATACAAGGCTCTTAGGAAGCTTAGGAATTCCACGGAGGGCTCAGGCCCCACTCACCTCCGATAGCCAGGTATCGGAAGAAGAGCCAGCCACTGATGAGGGCTTCTCGGGGGCTCCGGGGCAGCTTCTCCATGATGTCCAGGTCTGGCGGGTTGAAGCCCAGAGCCGTGGCAGGTAGGCCGTCTGTCACCAGGTTCACCCAGAGCAGCTGCACAGGGATCAGGGCTTCGGGCAGGCCCAGAATTGCCGTGAGGAAGATGCTGGAACAGAGTCATGAGCTCTAGCCCCGGTAGGCCTAGCCCCCGGCAGATGCAGGCTCCAGCTCCTGCTCAGACCCAAGGCTGGGAGCTCACCCACCCACTGTCTCCACAGCAGCCCCTCCTCCCTCCGCCAGCTGTGATGTGAAGGGTGTGTGTACACAGCTCTGCCTCGGGCCTGGCCAGTCCTGCCTTCCCCAGTCCCAGCTCTGGATCCTGGACATACCTGCTCTTTAGGCCTAGCAGAGGCCAAGTACACACACACACACACACACACACACACACACACGCACACGAAGAGGGCATGCCCAAGAATCAGACATGTGCAAAAACCTAGCACATGCCACACCATCCGGCAAACACAAGCAAACACCTACATATCTGCCCTGAGGTGCAGAGATGCAGAATCCATCCATGTCCAGCAACACACACGCTCACCATTCCCCACAGGCATCCTCACATGTGAATACGAGTGTGTGCACAGTCACACGCCGGCACAAATCCTTCTGCTTGTACTCACGCTCAAAATGCACCAGAGCACACATGCAAAATATACACATTACACACACCTCTCACTCAGGCACTCAGGCCATGTGCACACAAATACACATTCGCACACGGACACACACACGACTGCCTAAAGGTGGGGCTTTTCTCTCATCTTGCTAATCTGCAAGTGGGAAGTTCATGGCTGGAGGGCTGACAGGCGACTCTTCAGGCACCTCCGTGGGTGCTGGGGTGACCATGATCCATAGGTCACCAGGGCCTCTGGAGAATGACAAGAGGTGCTCTCCCCTGTCCACTCCAAGGTGGGACCCTGGAAAGCCCCAGCCAGGGCAGGGCACAGGCCCCTCCATCCCTGCAGCGCATCCGAGGAACAGGCGTTTTCCCCATCTCAGGGGCACAGAGCGGATTGAGAGGGCTGAGAGGAGGGAAGGCCCGGCCTCACCAGACGACCTCGCCAACATTGGAGGAGATGAGGTAGCGGATGAATTGCTTCATGTTGCTGTAGATGGCCCGGCCCTCCTCCACCGCAGCCACGATGGAGGCAAAGTTGTCATCTGACAGCACCATCTCTGCCGCCGACTTGGCCACGGCCGTGCCTGAGCCCATGGCGATGCCGATCTCTGCTTTCTTCAGGGCTGGTGCGTCGTTCACTCCATCGCCAGTCTGTGGGCCAGGTCAGGTAGGGCTGTGCCTGAGAAACTTCCCTTCCACCTCCCCATCTCTTCTCAACTCAGCCCACCCCCAATCTTAGGGGATGTTCCAAAGGAAGCAGACAGTTAGACAGAACAAATGGTGGGTTCAAGAATGAACTAGAAATTGGGCAGAGGATGAGGCTGAGGAGAAGGCAAGGGATGCAGACAAGGACAAAGTTGGGGAGAATATCAAGCATGAGGTTAGGGAAGATGATGAGGTGGGGATGGGGATGACGGTGAGTCAGCGATGAGGGTAGGGATGAAATTGAGGTTGGATGTGGGGTAGAAGATGAAACTGAGGTTAGGGAGAAAGCTGAGGTCAAGTCAGGAATGAAGTCAAGGGGATGGCCCGGGTAAAGAGCCAGGTAGGTGTTGTAGTCAAGTTGAAGATCAAGGCAAAGGCAGAGGCCAAGTCAAGGTCCACATGAGGAGTGAAGTCAAGTGACATGAAGTCTGGAGTTGCAATCAAGGTCAAACTGAAGGCCAGGCCAGGAGCGGTGGCTCACGCCTGTAATCCCAGCACTTTGGGAGGCCGAGGTGGGTGGATGACCTGAGGTCAGGAGTTCAAGACCAGCCTGGGCAACATGATGAAACCCCATCTCTACTGAAAATACAAAAATTAGCTGGGCGCAGTGGCGCGTGCCTATGATCTCAGCTACATGGGAGGCTGAGGCAGGGGAGTCGCTTGAGCCCGGGAGGCGGAGGTTGCAGTGAGCCGAGACTGCACTGCTGCACTCCAGCCTGGGCAACAGAGTGAGACTCCATCTAAAAAAATTGAAGGCCAGATCAAAGTTGAGGTCAACATAAAGCATTACATTGGGGGTGGGGCAGTGTCAAGGTCAACGTTGAGAATAAGGTCTTGGTCCAGGTCAAGACTGGAATTCTTTTTTTTTGGTGGGGGACAGAGTCTCACTCTATCGCCCAGGCTGGAGTGCAATGGCACAATCTCGGCTCACTGCAACCTCCTCCTCCCAGGTTCAAGCAATTCTCGTGCCTCAGCCTCCCAAGTAGCTGAGATTATAGGCATGCACCAGCTAATTTTTGTATTTTTAGTGGAGACAGGGTTTCACCATGTTGACTAGGCTGGTCTCAAACTCCTGACCTCAGGTGATCTGCCCGCCTCAACCTCCGAAAGTGCTGGGATTACAGGCGTGAGCCACCGTGCCCGGCCAAGACTGGAATTCATATCAGGGTTAAGCTCAACGTAAATAGTTATGTCGGGCTGGGTGTGGTGGCCCACACTTGTAATCCTAGCACTTTAGGAGGCCAAGGCAGGAGGATTGCTTGATCCAGGAGTTCAAGACTAGCCTGGGCAACATAGGGAGACCTCATCTCTACAAAAAATTAAAAAATTAGCCAGGCATGGTGGTGCATGCCTGTAGTCCCAGCTCCTCAGGAGGCTGAGGTGGGAGGATCTCTTGAGCCCGAGAGGATGAGGCTTCAGTGAGCCATGACTGTGCCACTGCATTCCAGCCTGGGCAACAGAGTGAGACCTCATCACACAAACAAAAAAAGAATTAGATTAAGATGAGGGTCAACATCAAGGTCAGGGACAAAGTCAGCACAGAGGTCAAAGATAAGATCAAGAACCAGGCTGCAGTGATAGTCAAGCTTGGTGTGCAGATCAAGGCTGGGCCATGGGTCAGGGTTAAGGACTGGGTTAGGCTGGAGGTCAAGATTAAAAACAGAGACCAGGTCAGGGGAGAGGCTGAGGTCAGAAGAATAGGTCAGCAATTAAGAACAAAAACTAGGCCCAAACTAAATGTCCATCCAAAGAGGAATGGTTCAATAAACTGAAATATTCACACAGTGGAATGCTACTCAACAATAAAAAAGCAATAGGCCGGGCGCGGTGGCTCATACTTGTAATCCCAGCACTTTGGGAGGCTGAGGCGGGCGGATCACAAGGTCAAGAGATTGAGACCATCCTGGCCAATGTGGTGAAACCCCGTCTCTACTAAAAATAAAAAAATTAGCTGGGCATGGTGGTGCGCGCCTGTGGTCCCAGCTACTCAGGAGGCTGAGGCAGGAGAATCGCTTGAACCTGGGAGGCGGAGGTTGCAGTGAGCCGAGATCGTGCCACTGCGCTCCAGCCCTGGGTGACAGAGCGAGACTCTGTCTAAAAAAAAAAAAAAAAAAAAAAAAAAGCAATAATCTGATACGACAAGGCAGATAGATCTCAAAAAAGCCCCAAACCAAAACAGTCCATACTGTATGATTCCATTCATTTGAAAATCTAGGGCAGATAAAACTCATATACGGTGAAAAAAAAAACCGAAAACAGTGATCGCCTGTTTTGCGACGAAGGACAGAGATGGGGAAGGCGTGTGACGGAACTTCATGGGTTGATGGTAATGTGTCATATCTTTTTTTTTTTGTTTTTTGTTTTTTTTTTTTTTGGAGAGATGGGGTCTCAAACTCCTGGGCTCAAGCAATCCTCCTGCCTTGGCCTCCCAAAGTGCTGGAATTACAAGCGTGAGCCACCATGCCTGGCATTTTCCTATCTTGATAAGGCTGTGAGTTACACAGGTGTGTGCATGTTCCTAAACTCATCAGATAGTACGCCAAAGATCTGTGTGCTTCATCGAAGGCAAATTTTGCCTCAAAAAGGAAAAACAGAACCACAAACAACATTGCTCTCTGGTTAACATGTATTCTAAAGTAGGTGAGGGGGAAGTATGCCGATGTCTGCAACTGACTTTGAAATACACCTAAGAAAAGATGGGCTAGGGATGGGCAAAGAATGGCTGCATGGACAGGTATGTGATAAAGCAAATACAATAAAATGTTAGTTGTAGAATCCAGATGATAGACATGTAGGTGTTCAGAATAAAATTAGTATTGTTATTATTATTATTTTGAGACGAAGTCTCACTCTGTCACCCAGGCTGGAGTGCAGTGGCGTGATCTCGGCTCACTGCAACCTCTGCCTCCCGGATTCAAGTGATTCTCCTGCCTCAGCCTCCTGAGTAGCTGGGGTTACAGGAATGCACCACCACGCCCCGCTAATTTTTGTACTTTTAGTAGAGACGGGGTTTCCTCATATTGGCTAGGCTTGTCTCGAACTCCTGACCTCAACTGATCCGCCCGCCTCAGCCTCCCAAAGTGCTGAGATGACAGGTGTGAGCCACCGCGCCTGGCCCAGAATAACATTATTTAAATTTCTTTTTGTATTTGAATTTTTTGGTAATAAGATGTTAGAAAAGGTAAGAATGAGGCAGAGGGGAGAGTTGCACGGCTTGCTCTTTTCACACCCCGTGGCCCCACTCATCACCCCCTCCTGGGGCTCCAGGCTGTGGCCTCACCATAGCAGTGATCTCGTTAAAGGACTGCAGGTTCTCCACGATGCGGGACTTGTGTGCGGGCTCCACGCGGGCGAAGCAGCGGGCGGTGCGGCAGGCCTGGCGCTGCTGCTCGGGGCTGAGGTCATCAAACTCGCGGCCCGTGTAGGCCTTGCCCGCCACGTCTTCCGTGTCCCCAAAGATGCCAAGCCTGCGGCAGATGGCCACGGCAGTGCCTTTGTTATCCCCCGTGATCATGACCACGCGGATGCCCGCCTGGTAGCAGCGTGTGATGCAGGCAGCCACCTCAGGTCGCGGCGGGTCCAGCATGCCTACGCAGCCCACGAAGGTCAGGTCCGTCTGTAGGGAGGGGGCAGATTCAAGCGGGGCCTGAGCCCATCCCTGACCTACCACCTGCTCAGCTGCTGCAGGGAGACTTGGCTCCTGCACCCACCTCGTACTGCAGGGAGAATCGGCTCCTGCACCCACCTCGTACTGCACAAACTTGCTGCAGTCGTCCAGCTCCATGTCCTCCTTCCTTGGGGGCGCGTCCCGGGTGGCCAGTGCCAGGCAGCGCAGCGTGTCTGAGCCTGAGCCCCAATCCCGGATCTTTGCCAGGATCTGCTCCCTGGAGGTGGGGGTCAGGGGTGCTGTGCGGCTCCCCACGCGGACTGAGCTACAGCGCTCGATCACACTCTCAGGAGCCCCCTGCGAGGTGGGGAGAGGGAGAAGAGGTAACTCATCAGTCAGAACCCCTCCTCTCCTTCCTGCCCAAACTCAGGAAACTGAGACTAAGATACGGGCAAAGGCCACCCAAGGGTACACACGCAAGGCAGGGAGCAGAATCCATTCACTGAAAGTTCAGAATGAGAACCAAGTGGGTCCCCCTGTGAGACAATCTAAAGAGAATGGGGGGAGTGTGCTGGGGTGGGGGCAGCCACCAACCTAGCGATGCCCTTCCCCCACCAGCCCACAGCAGACTCGGGCACTGCAGCGTTTTGCAGGCAGGGGTGAGAATGGCATCCCCTGCAGGCCCTGCTTCCCTGGTGCTACTCGGGTTCCAATTTGGTAGGGGCCTCAGCAGCAGGGAGGCAGGCTGAGCCCTGCCTGGGGACCAGAAATAGAGCCATACACAGGGTATGGCGGGCATAGCCCTGGGAAGGGGGTCCAGGGATGACAGGCCCCTCAGTGGCCTCAGGTCTCACCTCAGACCTCACCCCGGGCCTAGGAACAGCCTCTAAAGCTCCTTCAGTGGCTTCTCCTGCTCCTAAAAGGTCACCCAGGCACTGACTTTTCCAAGTGGCCCGAGCTCCCAGTACAGAAGCCTTTTCATTTCAAAAGGGGTTTAAACTTCCCTTGCAGGGTGAAGCTAGAGCTGTATTTCTCTCTTCGGTTTTGGGAGCAGCAACGGAGACGCTGTAGACAGTGGTCTGCAAGGGAGTCGATTCCTTTCCCTCCCTGGGACTCAGTTTCCAAAACACAGAGCACCAAGGGTGGCACCAACCACCCCTACACCACCGGTTAGAGGCAAAAGGGGCTCCTGAGAACTTGTAACCCAACCCTGCCATTCACACGGGAGGACTGGGGCTCACAGAGGAGCGTGGATGACCAGGTTCCCCAGGGCGCGCAGGGGCCCAGGCCAGCCAGGCAGGCCCCCACCTTCACAAACATCTTGCTGCCCTGGCCAGTAGGGTG
This sequence comes from Homo sapiens, assembly GCF_000001405.40. Classification (NCBI taxonomy): domain Eukaryota; kingdom Metazoa; phylum Chordata; class Mammalia; order Primates; family Hominidae; genus Homo; species Homo sapiens. Next base: position 3,942,642 of record NC_000017.11, read on the forward strand.
AGGGCGGGTGGGCGTGCAGTACACGGACATGGATTTCCGGTCTCGGGAGAACTCCAGGGTGAACTCCTTCCGCATCAGCTGCTTGATGACCTGCGGGGTCCAGGCAGGTCAGGGCATGAAGGACAGAGCCAGCAACTCTCGCCTGCCTTCCCACCAACTGCTTGGCCCCAAGAGAGCCTCTTGCTCTGTGTGGGATGACATCTACACTCCTCTGACCCCACCATTCAAGGCCTCCATTTCCCTCTCCAGCCCCAGAAATGGCAATACGATGCCGTTTGCTGACCATGCTGTGTGCAGCCCAACTCCAAACCTTTGCCCACACGCAGCCTTCTCCCCTCTTTTCTCCAAGTCTTACTTCACCGTCAGCCAGGAGCGGTGGCTCACGCCTGTAATCCCAGCACTCTGGGAGGCCAAGGCAGGCAGATTACCTGAGGTCAGGAGTTTCAGACTAGCCCGGACAACATGGTGAAACCCTGTCTCTACTAAAAAATGCAAAAATTAGCCGGGTGTGGTGGCACGCGCCGGGAGGTCGAGGCACGAGAATCACTTGAACCCGGGAGGCAGAGGTTGCAGTGAGCCAGGATTGCACCATTGTACTAAAGCCTGGGCGACAGAATGAGACTCCGTCTCAAAAAAAAAAAAAAACAAAACGAAACAAAACAAAAACTTCAGTGTCCTGTCTGCCTTCTCCAGATGTCCCAGAAGCCCCAGCCATGCAGCCGGAGGCCTGAGCCCCCAGCCCTGCTCACCGTGTTACAGGCGCCAGCTCGCTCCACCCGGGACAGAGCCTGCAGGTCGGTGTCGAACACGTTCATCTTCTCCACCAGGCAAGTCAGAGCTGTCTCCGTGGCCTCTCCCACCTTCTCATACACACCCTTGGCCTGGCAAGGACCCAGGGGATAGGGAGTGAGGGGCAGGCAGCCTCCAGCCCGCATCCCCAGCCTCACTCACTCCTTGCCCCTGCAGCTGCCTTTGCTGGAGTTCCGTGTAACCTCCTTTGCACCGGCCCGTGAGCCCTTCCCAGCCTGGCCGCCCTGGGGTCGGGGTGGTGTCTGACACTGACATTCAGCCCCCCACACTGGCATTGATCGCCACACACCGTCCCTGCCCTCCGCCTGCATCTCTGTCCACTTCCTGTCAGCCTCCTTCACCGGTTTCTGCTGTCTGGGCCCGCTTCCACCCTCCCACCTGCTCTCCCTGGGGCCCTTTGCTGAGCCCCAAGCCCAGATGTCCAGCTGCCTGCTGAACCTTGTTCCCCGGGGACCCCTCAGGCCACCTCTCCCACTCTCTGTATTTGCCACTCCGGCGACAGCCCCAGACAGCACAAGAACCAGGAGCCCCCCTGGCTTCCTCCCTGTCTCTTTCACCTAACCAGTCACCAAGTCCCAGGATTTTTGGCTCCTAAATGTCTCTGACCCATACCTTCTCCCCTCTCCCCAAGGCTCCAGCCAGGGCTCAGCCCGCATCTCTCTGGCCTGAATGACCACATAGGCCTCCCTGGCTTCGGTCCTCTACTGTCTGTCTGGCCTCCACACGGAAGCCTCAGTGATCTTCTGTAAATGCACATCTGACTATGTCACTCTCCTGCTCAAAACTCTTCGTTGGTGCTCTACTGCCCTCAGCTTGGCCTCGGACTGGGTCTGGCCAAGGACCTCCCTTTGGGCAGACGCCTGCTGCATGCCCCATTCCACTGCCCCGGCCACGTGAATGCCTAAGTCGCAGGAGGCTTTAACTGAACGTGGGCCTTTTGTGGGCTGTGTCTTCTGCTTTCAACATTTTCTTGGTCCTGTTCCCCAAATCTCTTCCCCCCACAGGTTTCCCCAGCCCTTCAGCCCCTTCCATGGCAGTCCCCCACAGACCAAGAGCCCCAGGGGGAGGGTTCTGAAGCCTGTCTGCGGAAAGGGAGGGGCGGCAGAGAGGGGTGTGCAGGGGTAACCGTGCTCCCTGGGTGTGGCACTTCCAGGGAGCAAGGGCTGCCAACCCTGGGAGCTTTGAGGCTGGGAAAAGGGTCTGTCCTGGTCGCCTGGATACTAGGGAGGTCATGAAAGGGGGTGAGGCCCACCTCGTTGTAGTCCAGAGCCGAGTCGTTGCACAGGGCGCAGATGGTCGCCAGCTCCACCAGCCCGTCGAACTGGCCGCAGCGCACAGGCTGATCCCCCTGCCGCCTGCGGAGCCGGGGCGGTCACCAGGAGGACCTCGGCTCCGCCCCCGAGAGGGGTCCGCCTCTTGGCCCCGCCCCTAGGAGGGGGCTCCGCCTCTTGGCCCCGCCCCCAGAAGGGCTCCGCCTCCTGGCCCCGCCCCGGGAGAGGCTCCGCCTCCTGGCCCGCCCCCAGGGGCCTCCCACGGCCACCTCGGCGCCGCCACGCGTGGCCCCGCCCCCAGGCCGCCCGCCCGCGCGTCCCCTGGCCCCGCACTCACACTTCGCCCTCGGGGGTATACGTGGTACCCGAGATGGTGAACTCGTGCAAAAGGCAGGAGCCCGCATCGGCCTCGGCTACCACGAACATCTGGGGAGCGCAGGGGCGTGCTTAGGCGGGCGGGGTCGCCTCCCTCCTCCCCGGGCGGCCAGTCGACCCCAGGGTGGGGTCCTGCAGGCCCCCTGCCCGACCGAGGGCCAAACCGGCCTGGCCGTCCGTGCCCACCAGGAGGGAAATAGAACGCAGGGTCCAGGCTGAGGCAGGGACCGTCTGCTCTGCCAGATGTGTCCGGCTCCGGTTTGTCCCAATGTCCTGGACTTCTGAGGGATTTATGGCAGATTCTTCAGTGCTCTGGGGGCAGTTGCCAGCTTGAGGGAGCCCTGAGCTAGGCAGAAAGCCTGGGTCCTTGCCCATCTCACTGTGCGATCCCTGGCCAAGTAGCTGAGCCTCAGTTTCTCCACTAGTAACATGGGAACCGCCCCCTCCTTTGCCTTCAAGGAAATGAGTTCCTGGCCTTCAAGGGAGGAAACCCACACGCCTCTCTGGGGCACAGACCCCTCTAGCCCAGAGATGTCCCCAGAGAGTGAGCCCCTGCCACAGGGCCTGCTGGGTCACTCAGCCCCCACCTGTGCACCTCAGGAACAGGAGGCTTACCTGGCCCAGCATGCCTATTTCTTTGTCTGTTCAGCCAGCTCTGCTGGGGAGACAGTTCTTGCTTCGTGGACATGGCCTCACCGCACATTCTCAAGCAAATGGCCAGCCCAGCGCCCAGTAGATGCATAAGTGTCCCTTCCTTCCCGCTCTCCTCCCTACTCCTGGGGGCAGTCACCCAGCAAGCACAGCCCAGCATCCAGCACGTAAGGCCCCTACAACTTCCCCACACTGCACTTTAAAACTCTTTATTATTAGCTGGGCCCAGTGGCTCACGCCTGTAATCCCAGCACTTTGGGAGGCCGAGGCGGGTGGATCACGAGGTCAAGCTTGATTGAGACCATCCTGGCTAACATGGTGAAACCCCATCTCTACTAAAACTACAAAAACTAGCTGGGTGTGGTGGCACGCGCCTGTAGTCCTAGCTACTCGGGTGGCTGAAGCAAGAGAATCGCCTGAACCCAGAAGGCGGAGGTTGCAGCCAAGATCGTGCCACTGCACTCCAGTCTGGCAACAGAGTGAGACTCCATCTCAAAAAAAAAAAAAAAAAAATTTATTAGGGCCGGGCACGGTGGCTCAGGGCTGAAATCCCTGCACTTTGGGAGGCCAAGGCGGGTGGATCACTTGAGGTCAGGAGTTATAGACCAGCCTGGCCAACATGGTGAAACCCCGTCTCTACTAAAATACAAAAATTAGCTGGGTGTGGTGGTGCATGCCTGTCTGTAGTCCCAGCTACCTGGGAGGCTGAGGCAGGAGAATCGCTTGAACCTGGGAGGCAGAGGTTGCAGTGAGCTCAGATCATGCCACTGCACTTCAGCCTAGACAACAAACAGAATGAGACTCTGCCTCAAAAAAAAAAATCGCTATTAGTCAAGAAACACTCTGTTTAAATAAAATCCTATGAGGGCTTTTAGCAGGACAGTAAAGCTCGGTAGCACCCCTCCCCTAAAGCAGCCTTTGATGGGCTCCCAGAAGGCCTTAGGGTCTCAGAATACAGAGCCTGGGTTTCCAAGCCCAGTGGGCAGATGTGGAAGCAGGGGTGACAGAGAGGCACTGGGGACCTGGGAAGGGTGGGGAACACATAGCCTTCACCATCTCCCCACCCACCCATCTGCTGGGTCAGGAGGAGCCTTCTGCCCCATGGGCCTGCTGAAGTCTCAGCCAGAATCCCTTGGCCGTGTGGGCAGTGAGCCCAGGATGTGGGATGAAGTGCAGGGAATGAATAATTCCTGCCCTGGCCCTTCCCAGGTTACCGGAGCTGGCTTATCTGGTGACAGGTGTCGACTGCACAGAGTCATGATGGGGCAGGATGGAACCCGGATCCAGGCCCAGCTTGGCCCCTATGCCAAGGCTGAACTTGAGCCTCTCCTATGTCCTTTACGTTTACCTAGCAGGGCTCACACAGCCAGGCTTCCAATGAGGAGACTGAGGTTAACAGACTGTCAGCAACCTGGCCAGGGCCCCACAGTGACACACAGGCCTCAGTGACATGTGGCTACCCAGGCATGATTTGCTATAGTCTCCCTGTCATCTTGTGAAAACCTGGACCTGCTCTGGGCCAAGGGACAGCCCACAGATTCTCTCCTCCATCCCTCACTGAAAAGGAGGTGGGGGAGAGACCCAGAGAGGGAGCCCAGCCTGCTCTGCAACGCACAGCAACACCAAGCTGGCCGTCACTCACCCGGCAGACAGACATCTGATTGGTGGTGAGCGTGCCCGTCTTGTCGGAGCAGATGACTGAGGTGCAGCCCAGGGTCTCCACGGACGGCAGGCTTCGCACGATGGCGTTCTTGCGTGCCATGCGCCGCGTGCCCAGTGCCAGGCATGTAGTGATGACAGCCGGGAGGCCCTCGGGGATGGCCGCCACCGCCAGGGCCACGGCGATCTTGAAGTAGTAGACAGCGCCACGCAGCCAGGAGCCACCGTGGGCCGGGTCGGCGAAGTGGCCGATGTTGATGACCCACACGGCCACGCAGATCACAGAGATGGCGTGGGACAGCTGCCGTCCAAACTCGTCCAGCTTGCGCTGCAGCGGCGTCCGCTCGGGCTCGACTGCCGCCATCTGGCTCCGGATCTTGCCCAGCTCCGTGTGCAGGCCGGTGGCCACGGCCACACCCACCGCTTTGCCCGATGTGATATTGGTGCCCTGGCCAGGGGAGGGACAAGGAAAAAGCTGCTCAGCAGCCAACCAGGGGCCCAGGACCCCTGACTCCTTCAGGCCGGAATAAGGCACTTATCCTTCTACCCGGCTTTCCTTTTCTCCATGTTGCTAGTGCTTCCAGACTCCTGTAGCTATGTATGCACGGGGTCCCTGCTGCCTTCCCATGAGAGTGTCAGCTCTAGGAAGGCAGGGTTTGGGTTCATCGCCGTATCCCCAGTGCCTAGCACGGGGCCGGGCACAGAGGAGGCACGGGGGCTGATATTGATGATATAATCAACCAGCGCAGCACAAGCATCAACCCCACAAAATGTGATTTCGTAAACAATCACTATAGCCACACAGGAGCATAGCTGACTACGAACCCAATAAACAGTCCATTAATATTTACTAAAAAATCCAGAAAACCTGAGCCTCAGCTCATCCATTTCCAAGGCTCCAGTAAAATCCCCAATTCCTAGCATAAGGGACAGCCAGCCTTGTGGCTTGGTGTCCTCTTCTGTAAAGTGGTCCAACACAGGCCCAAGATAGTTTTTCTGAGGAGGCTAAGAACCTGGTGCCCCTTCAAATGCATATGCTGTTGGGGCTGGCGAGAAGGCAGGCCCCAGCCTCTCTTCTGTCTTAAGCAACGTAGCTCCAGCCCCCAACATGCAGGGCCCAGCCAGACACCTTCCTCCAAAGCTTCTTTTTATTATTACTTTAGAAAATTGTTTTGTTTAATTTTGAATTTTAGTAGAAACGAGGTCTCACTATGTTGCTCAGGCTGGTCTCAAACTCCTGAGCTCAAATGATCCTCCTGCTTTGGCCTCCCAAAGTGCTGGGATTATAGGCATGAGCTACCATGCCCGGCCCCTCCAAAGCTTCTTAGTGACAGCTGCTGATCCTGGAGCAACAGCTCTCAGAGCTTCCCTCCCCACCCCAAGGCATCCTGTCCAAGGCTTCTATGCAGCTAGGTAGGCCCCTCTCAAGAAGAGTTCTGGGCCAGGTGCAGTGGCTCACACCTGTAATCTCAGAACTTTGGGAGGCCAAGGCGGGCAGATCACCTGAGGTCAGGAGTTTGGGACCAGCCTGGCCAACATGGTGAAACCCCGTCTCTAGTAAAATACAAAAATTAGCTGGGCACGGTGGTGTGTGCTTGTAATCCCACCTGCTTGGGAGGCTGAGGCAGGAGAATCGCTTGAACTCGGGAGGCGGAAGTTGCAGTGAGCTGAGATTGTGCCACTGCACTCCAGCATGGGTGACAGAGTGAGACTCTGTCTCAAAAAAAAAAAAAAAAAAAAAAAAAAGGAGTTCTGGGTGAGTTTCACTTTCTTCATCCCTCTTCCCTTCCAGGAAGTTTTCTATCCCCCGATAACTTGGTGGCCTGGGCCATTGTCTGACTGGCCTGACCCTTCCTTGTGCCCCTAAACGCTCCTTGCTGGCCTCAGGCTACTGCGGGGCAGCTGTGAGTATCACTTGCTAGCTTTCTCTGAGGCCACAGAGGCAGGTCTCTCCCGCCAAAGCTGAACCCATCACTATCCCTGAGAAGAGCCAGGTAGACCGGGCATCATGCCTTGTGGGTCAGTTTTCCTGTCGGAGAATGGAGTATCCCCCACCATCCTCCACCATTTTGGCAGACCTCCTTCCTCTAGAGCATTTCTATCGAGTGATTATAGGGAGGCTCTGCCCTTCTCCAGGGGAAGGCAGGGTCTCCCAGCAGAAATCCAGGATGTCTGAGTTCGTCCCAGCTGTGCCACTCATTGGCTGTGTGACCTTGGGAAACTTACTTAATCTCTCTGTGCTTGTTTCTTTCCTTGCTGGAAAATATAGATAACAAGCATAACAAGAGTACTTATTTCAAAGATTTGGTGTTAAGGATTAAATAAACTAGTATGTGTAAAGAGCTTAGAACAGTGCCAGGCACACAGTCCCCAGTAAACACAAGCTATTATTATTACTATAAATTTGCATGTATTGTCAAGAATCGATGAGGTTCTTCCCCGTAGGACTTTAGCTGATTAACCTTAATGTTGGGCCAGGTGCAGTGGCTCATGCTTATAATCCTAGCACTTTGGGAGGCCAAGGTGGGCGGATCACTTGAGGTCAGGAGTTCGAGACCAGCCTGGTGAACGTGGTGAAACCTTGTTGCTACTAAAAATACAAAAATTAGCCGGGTGTGGTGGCAGGTGCCTGTAGTCCCAGCTACTTGGGAAGCTGAGGCACAAGAGTAGCTTGAACCTGGGGGGCGGGGGTTGCAGTGACCCGAGATCGTACCACTGCACTCCAGCATGGGCAACAGGGCCAGAAAAAAAAATATTTTTTTTTTTTTTTTGAGACAGAGTTTTGCTCTCGTCACCCAGGCTGGAGTGCAGTGGCACAATCTTGGCTCACTGCAACCTCCGCCTCCCGGGCTCAAGTGACTCTCCTGCCTCAGCCTCCCAAGTTGCTGGGATTACAGGCACACGCCACCACCCCCAGCTAATCTTTTTGTATTTTTAGTAGAGACGGGGTTTCACCATGTTGGCCAGGCTGGTCTCGAACTCCTGACCTCAGGTGATCCACCCACCTCAGCCTCCCAAAGTGCTGGGATTACAGGCGTGATCATAATCCTAATGTTGTTATTTTTATCATTGTCTGGGCAAAGGCCCCAGACATTTGACTTACAGAAAACAGCATGTTCTTCTTGTCCTGGTTCACAGCTCTGGGGTCTGGGATGGCCTCTGTGTGCTTGGTCACGGACACAGATTCACCTGGTCAGGGAATCAGAGATGAGAAGCCCCACATGAAGACACGCCCATCCCTTAGTCCTGGCCCACTAGGTCCCGGCCTCCTGGGGGGGGCCTCACCCGTCAGGATGGACTGGTCCACTCGCAGCGTGGTGGACTTGATCTCGATGAGGCGGAGGTCAGCAGGCACTTTGTCCCCCACTGTGCGGGGAGAATGGCTTGGCTGAGGGTGGCTTTGGGCACCACCAGCTGGGAAAAGCCAGAAGGGTTCCCAGAACCCAAGGCTGGGGCTGGGCGTCGGGTGCCTGAGCTGTGATCGCTCTGGTGACCCCTGCCCCTCTGGCCCACAGTCTCATCTGTCCAACAGGGTTTTGGCCAAAGGGCTTTGGAGGGATCCGACAGCCACCCCCTCTGTATATACGGCCGGAATGACGGAGGCACAGAGAGGGATGGGGCTCCCAGGCCCACATAATAAAAGGAGGAGGCCCCTACAGAAGCCTGAGACAGGAGGATTGCTTGAACCCGGGAGGCAGGAGGTTGCAGTGAGCCGAGATTGCGCCACTGCACTCCAGTCTGGGCAACAGAGCACGACTCCATCTCAAAAAATAAATAAATAAATAAATAAAATAAATAAATAAATAAAATAAAATAAAATAAAAGGAGGAGGCCCCGGCATACCTGCCACTTCTACAATGTCCCCTGGGACGATGTCCCGGGCACGGATCCTCTGCACGCCCTTGCGGTCCGAGCGGATCACCTTGCCCATCTCAGGCTCATACTCCTTCAGGGCCTCGATGGCACTCTCGGCGTTGCGTTCCTGCAGAATAGAAGGCCGGCAGGCAGTCTGTCCCTGCTGCCCCCCGCAGACCACCCCCTTGGAGTGACTCCTCTGGGGCCTGGGATGGAGGTGGAAGCAGGAGAGTCTGCAGGACGCCAGCACCAGGTGGAGGGCACTCCTAGTGGCTGGGAGACCGCCCCCCGCCCGGTCCCACCCCCAGTGCCTCCCACCTGCCACACGCCCACAATGGCGTTGGCCACGAGGATCAGCATGATGACCAGGGGCTCCACGAAGGCGGTCGTGGTCTCCTCGCCCTCCTCGAACCAGGCCAGGACCTGCAGGATCACAGCTGGTGAGCTCAGGCCCTGCTGCGGGCCGAGATCTGCTCTCCTTTTCCTTGGCACCCCGGATCTCCTGCTTGCTTCCCTGCTTTGGGGAGATAGCACTGGGGAGCTCTTGGCTTGGAGAGGGCCACTCCTCCGAGAAGGCCTTGGCACAGGGTGCCCACCCCACAGGAGTGACCACCCCACCCAGGCCAACCTTCAAGGCTGTGGGGCAGTTGGATGGCTGCCCACCGAGGCCTTACTGTCTGCCTGGAGCAGAGCATCTCAGTGTGGTCCCCAGACCAGCAGCAGCAGCAGCTGGGAACTTGTAAGAAATGTTGATCTTGGGGTCCCTCCCAGACCTCCTGAGTCGTAAATTCTGGGGTGGGGCCCAGTCACCTGTGTGTCGGCAAGCCTACGGATTCTTTTGAGACAGAGTCTTGCTCTGTCGCCCAGGCTGGAGTGCGGTGGCTGGATCTTGGCTCACTGCAACCTTTGCCTCCCAGGTTCAAGCAATTCTCATGCCTCAGCCTCCCGGGTAGATGGGATTACAGGCGTGCACCACCACGCCTGGCTAATTTTTCGTATTTTAGTAGAGACGGGGTTTTACCACGTTGCCCAGGCTGAACTCCTGAGCTCACCCGCCTCGGCCTGCCAAAGTGCTAGGATTACAGGCATGCGCCACTGCGCCCAGCCAAGCCCAGGTGATTCTGATGCACGCATCCAAAGCCCATTAGCCAGGGGAGCATCAGTGGGAATGGAGGAACAGCAAGGAGATGCGGCAGCCAAGAGGAGGCTGCAAGAGGTTCAGACCCCAAAATCCATGTGGGGGACACTGGGATCCACGGAAGGGGCTCCGGCAGCAGCACTCAGCCAGGGACAAGGTGCCCCCCAGGGGCATTTGGCAATGTCCGAAGACATTTTTAATTTTTTTGAGACAGGGTCTTGCTTTGTTGCCCAGGCTGGAATGCAGTGGTGTGATCACGGCTCACTGCAGCTCCATCCTCCTGGGCCCAAGCAATTCTCCTGCCTCAGCCTCCAGAGTGGCTGGGACTATAGGCCTGCACCACCGCACTCGGCTAATGTTTTTGTATTTTTTGTAGAGACAGGGTCTCCCTATGTTGCCCATGCTGGTCTCAAACTCCTGGGCTCAAGCGATTTTATTGCCTTGGCCTCCCACAGTGCTGGGATTTCAATCATGAGCTGTCAGGCCCAGCTGTCTAAAGACATTTTTGATGGTCATCCCCGGGAGGTGCTACTGGCATCTTGTGGGTAGAGTCCAGGTATGCTGCTGAACATCCTACAGTGGAAAGCCCCCACCCCCACCCCGACAAAGAATGATCTGGTCTAAACTATCAGTAGTGCTGAGGCAGAGAAACCCTAGGGTACAGCAGGGCGGGGCGGGGGGCAGATGTGAGTTGGGGAGCTCGCTGAGAGCCAGAGGATAAGATGGATTGGAGGGGTCAGGTGGGAGCCGGGGACCCAATGTAGGGGCCATGAGGGTTCAGGCAAGGGAAGCTGAAGTCTGAGCAGGGCAGGGCCAGGGAAGGCCAGGGCGCAGGCCCAGGGTGTGGAGGACAGGCCCAGGCTCCAGGACCTCGGAGCACTGCCCAGCCTGGCTCTCCCTCCAGGGCTACCGACTACCACAGGATGGCTGGCAGGGCCCTACTTACAAAGGAGACAAGGGCAGCCAGCAGCAGGATGCGCACCAGGAGGTCCTCAAACTGTTCCAGCACCAGCTCCCACAGGGACTTCCCTGGGAACGGGGGTCATGTGTGAGGCTGGGCCCCCACCACTGACCCTGCCCACTCAGAGCTGGGATGGCCCGGGAGACCTCCCGGCCCATTCCCTCCCTGCACTCAGAAGAGGGAGAACCCAGGTCGCTGAGAGGCTCAGGTGGGTGATCCTGGGGAGCTCAGCAAGGCCTCACTCAGCGGGGAGAAGGAAGTCATGACCAGACAGAGAACGACCCAGGGATGCTGCCCGCGGCCTAGAGGTCCATCCCGGTGCCAGCCTCACCTTCCTCACTCGGGAGCTCTGCAGGATCCAGGCAGCCACGGGAGCCATGAGGAGACAAGAGAGGAGTGGGTCACGCAGGGGCCTCGGGGGAGTCTGGCAGTGCCTCCCCACCGTGCCCGCCCAGACCCCCACCACGGACTGGATGTATCCCCAGGGCTCTCTGAGGCCACAGGATAAATGGTTTGAGCCCAAATGCTTCCACCCCTCTACCCTCCCCCGACTCAGATTGAGGAAGATCTAGGGTGACTTGGCTCATCGTGGGATGAGTACGGAGCCAAGAGGGTCCTTCCAGCCCCTCCAGTCCAGCCCCTCCCTGCCCCACTTCACAGAAGGGAAACTGAGGCCTAGAAAACAGACACTTCCCCCACCCAGGTCACACGGAGAGTGGGCTGTTCTCACGGCTCCCTGCATAGCCCTTCCTTAGATGGCCGCAGAGTCCTGTTGAGTCTCTGCCACCCCCACAGCAAGGCAGCCCCTCCCTCAAATGGAGAACACCAGCTCAGGCGCCTTCCGCTCACCCTGCCTCTAACATCCCTGCTCCCCTGGGACCAGCTGGACAAGGTCTGCAGCTGGGCCGGCCTGCTGGGCCCCACCGCACAGCAGGGCTCCCCTGGACAGGACCCCAGCAGCCAGCACCCCGCAGTGAGGATCCCTCCCATGGTGCAGTCCCCCCCAGGCCCTGCACTCCATCGAGCTCAGTGAAGACCCCCCAGCCCCGCCCCACATACCCAGTCGCCCCCCACACAACATGGTGAAGAACACTGTTTCCAAACTCTAACAGCACCCACCTCAATTGAGGTGCTGATTTTTTTTTTTTTTTTTTTAAGAGAGTCTCGCTCTGTCGCCCAGGCCAGAGTGCAGTGGCGCAATCTTGGCTCACTGCAACCTCCACCTCCCGGGTTCAAGCGATTCTCCTGCCTTAGCCTCCTGAGTAGCTGGGATTACAGGCACGCGGCACCACGCCCGGCTGATTTTTGTATTTTTAGTAGAAATGGGGTTTCACTATGTTGGCCAGGGTGGTCTCGAACTCCTGACCTTGTGATCTGCCCGCCTCGGCCTCCCAAAGTGCTGGGATTACAGGCGTGAGCCACCGCCCAGGCCTAGGTGCTGATTTTTATCTCCAACATTTCCCGAAGCACCTTTTGTATCAGGCAGAGGTGCCTCGGGCCCCTGAAGTGGTTGAATCATTCCTACAGCCTAAAGGGCAGGCAGGTGGCAGGGAGTTCCTGCCCTGCTTCACAGACCCGGGCACGGAGGATCAGGGTGGCGGTGTGGCTTGGGCAAGGCCACACAGTGAGTGAGTGGGTCTGTGTGGGGATGAGAGGGGCGGGAGCCAGGCTCTGCAGGGTGGGCTTGGAGAAGCTCCCCCTTCCCAGGCCGCAGTCTAACTGAGCCCTGCCTCCTCTTGTCTCTTGCCACTCAAAGGACAGTCTCCGGACATCTGTGGCATCTCCCCGAAGCTCGTTAGCCATGCGGAATCTGAGGCCCCGGCCATGGCTGGCTCTCTTCCACCTCCTTCTTCCTGACACTGGAAACAGGTCCTTGCATTGGTCCACCTGTTTTTGGCCTACAGGCATTTTTTTTTCCTACGGGAGCCCTCTCCCCGGACCACCTGTTTGGAAGCTTTGGGGTCTGCACCTGGCAGCTGAACCCTGGGGAGTATCAAGCAGCCCACTGGACTGTAGGAATCCAGGAGGGAAATATATAGCCTAAAAATACACTTTCTAGCATTTTCTCCAAAGTCCTATTTTCGGCAGTGGCTGACATTTTCCGTGGAAAATGTAATCTCCAGTGTCCTGCGTCGAGATTAAAATCAAACAGACTTTTTCCTTCTGATCTATTTAGCTGAGGCGAACAGGAAAGGCGGGGGGAGGGCCAGGACTGGTTTCTGGGCCAATTCTCCAATGGAGCAGTGTGCTTTCGAGGTCACCCCAGCCATGCCCCAGCCTCGAATCAGGACAGCACTAACCTCATGGTGCGCATGGGTGGGCTTGTGCTGGGCTCTTCCCGGGGGATGCCTGTAACCCTCACCTTTCTTTATTCTGGGCAGGGGCGAGGCCTGGGGTTGGGAAGCGTGTCATGGGGTACACGTGCCAGCTCCAGTCCTGGACTTCCCCACAAAGGTCCCCATGATGCCTCCTGCCTGCCCCGGCTGGTCTCTCAAGTTCTCCTTTCTCTTATTTTATTTTATTTTATTTTTTTTTTTTGAGATGGAGTCTTGCTCTCTCGCCCAGGCTGGAGCGCAGTGGCGGGATCTTGGCTTACTGCAACCTCCGCCTCCCAGGTTCAAGCGATTCTCCTGCCTCAGCCTCCCGGGTAGCTGGAATTACCGGTGCCTGCCACCACGCCCAGCTAATTTTTGTATTTTCAGTAGAGGCGGGGTTTCACCATGTTGGCCAGGCTGGTCTCGAACTCCTGACCTCAGGTGATCCACCCACTTCGGCCTCCCAAAGTGCTGGGATTAGAAGTGTGAGCCACCGCGCCCGGCTCAGTTCACCTTTCTCTACCTGTCTACCTGGATCATCTCCCCTTCTGCTCTCTGACCCACCCTGACCCAGGATCCAGTCTTTGGTGCTCATTATGTTGTTCCCCAAATATTTCTGGTTCTCCCCCACCTTGTGGGCACATAGTAGGAGGGCACTTCCCGGCCCCCGTGTGAGTTTTGAGAAGAAGGATGTGTATTCGTGCCAGGTTGGAGCATTGACTTTTGGTGGGGGACTTTCTAGGAGGTCACTGTCCAGTAGAATGTTCTGTGAGAGCAGAAGTATCCTCCGTCTGTGCTGGCCAGGACCGCAGCCACTAGCCACATGCAGCTGGCGAGCCCCTGGACTGTGACTAATTTCGAATTTTACTTTAATTTTCATGCATTTAAATGTAAATAGCCAAGCGGCTGGAGCTCTTTGACACTCTCTCCTACAGCAGCCAGCAGCCTGTGAGATGGTGTCTGCTCCATCGACCTGGGTCACAGAATGAGGAAGGCACAGAGCACCCGGGGACCAGCCTGCTGCCAGCACTCAGCAGGAGTGAGAAATGAGCCTCTGGTCCTTTAAGGTGCCAAGAGAGATTTGGAGGCGATTGCTGCAGTATCCAAGCTGAACCTGACTGATACCCCCTCCGCTGTGACCTGGCTTCCTCCGCAAAGCTCCCCTCTCACCCCGCCCACCTGGGGAGGCCTGACCTGCCGCTGAGCACAGCTCTGGTCCTGCCCACACAGCCAGCTCCTTGTGGGGCCTTGAGCCTCATTTGGGAGGTGGGGTACCCACACCCACTTTGAAGGCCTGCTGTGGTGATCATCATCATCATTACTGTTAAGAGTCACATTTACCAAGCACCTGCCAAGCAATGTACCAGGTGCCTTACCGCATTATCACCAGAGAACAAATGGGAAGACGCTGGGGACCGAGCACGTGAGGTGCTTAGCGGAGGTCATAGCAGCAGCAGCTGGTGGTGTGCGCCAGACACCCTGCTAACTCCTTGCGTGCCTTATTCTCATGATCCGCAAACAAGCTGGGAAGGAGGATGCCATTGTTATGCCCATTTTACAGAGTACACAACAGAGAGGTTGAGTGACTAGTTCACCGTCACACAGCGGGGGAGACAGGGAAGGGTTTTGAGCTCAGGCAGTCTGGTTCTCGACCCCCTGCTGTGGGCCTCCGATGCTAACTCTTAGGCTGTCCTGCCTTCCCTCCTCCACTCTCTTTACCGCTCACCCAAGCTCATCTGAAAACCCTTGGTGTCCCATGTCCTGACCGTTGGGCTGGATGTCCCCATCCCTTCAGTCGGCGTGCCCCTCTGTAGAGAGCCCACAGCCCAAATCCTCCTGTCCAAAAGGCCCTGCTGGCCTCACTGATGGTGCTTTAGGGGTTTACGAGGCTCTGCCTGCTCAGGCCTGATCTGCTTCTAAATGCAACCCTGAAGGACCCAATTCTCCCCTCGCATGAATGAGCCCCAGGGTGATGGAGGGAGCCCAGGGCTGGGAGATCCCCTACCCCAGGCATTCCTGGAAGATGCTGCCTCCTTCCTTGCTCTCTCCCAGGCTGCGTGTTGGAGGCTGAGATAGTTCCCCTTGAAATGGCGGCCTTGGGCCTCTGGCAGTGCCAGATGTCCTATCTGTTAAATGAGAGAGTGCCCTGGCTCTGCCCACTCTCAGTGCCATCCGCTGGGCTGCAGGGGGCAGAGACAGGACCAGGAGGTGCCGCTCTCTCTGAGAGCCACAGTGGGGCTGGCCACTATTCTAATCTGAGCCTCCGCCACGGTGACCCCTGCCTGGCTCATGTTGCCAGACTGAGAGGGCCTGTGTTCACGGAGGCCCAGCGTGCAGGCCTGGGAGTCAGCCTGCAGTCCTGGGAAAAGAGGGAGGTGATCAGAGAAGCTTCGTGGCTTAGAGCAAGGAATCTGGTCCAGAGGGCTCAAGTTCAAATCCTGCTCTATCTCACGGTACTTCTGTGGCCACAGGCCAGTTACCTAATCCCCTGTGTCTGTTTCTCCATCTGCAAAAAGAGGGTGATAAATGTAAGTACCTCACAGGGATGCCGGAAGATTGAACGGCATGCATAAAGCACTTGGAATGCGTAGCACACAGTGAACACGCTCCAGCCAGAATCACTTGCTAGAATATAAGCTCTAGGGCAGCAGGACTTCGTTAAGCGCAGCGTCTCCAGCACCCAGAGCAGCTCCTGGAGCATAGCAGGTGCTCAGTAAACATATGTGATGGATGACTGACCCTGCCTCTGTCCTGTTCACAGAGCTTCAGTGGCTGTCCTTGGCCTACAGAATAAAGACCAACTTTAGCACGGGCTTCAGGGCCTTCCTGGATCTGTCCCCACCTGCCCTTCTAGGATCATGTCTGTATCCCGAATGCACATCTGTCCCTCTGTTAGCCAAGCCTCAGGATTGCCACCCCTGCTTTTTAGTGTATTTGTAATTGACAAATCATAATTGTACACAATTATGGGGTCCAGCGTGATGTGTTGATAATCCCGTTTTGCAAAACCTTCTCCTCCTCATTCATATATATATATATATACACATATATATACACATATATATAGACACACATATATATACACACACATATATATACACACACATATATATACACATATATATACACACATATATATATACACACATATATATACACACACACATATATAAATATATATATATATATATATACACACACACACACACACATATATATATATTGTTTTTTTTCAGATGGAGTCTCATTCTGTTGCCCAGGCTGGAGTGCGGTGGTGCAATCTTGGTTCACTGCAACCTCTGCCTCCTGGGTTCAAGCGATTCTCCTGCCTCAGCCTCCCAAATAGCTGGGATTACAGGCGCCTGCCACCATGCCTGGCTAATTTTTTATTTTTATTTTTTAGTAAAGATGAGGTTTCACCATGTTGGCCAGGCTGGTTTCGAACTCCTGATCTCAAGTGATCCACCCACCTCGGCCTCCCAAGGTGCTGAGATGCCAAGGTGCTAGCCACCGCGCCCGGCCTTCCTCCTCCAACATTTTGCTTGTGCCATTCCTTCTGTGCACAGCAGCATCCTATCTCCTCATATAAACCCCCTTTCCAGGAAGCCTTCTCTGAAAGCCCCTCCCCTACCTCATCGCTGTGCCCTTCTCTGACCAGTTGTCAGTATTAGGGTCCCCCCACCACACTGGAACACTTCCAGGGTGGGGCGGGGCTGAGTCATCCCTGTGTTTATGCTGAGTCCTTACAGTCATTGTTTACTCAGTTGCTCCGTGGTGCAGGCCAGGGCCCTGAGCCCACAGTCCAGAGCCAGGGAGAAGGGGGGTAAGCGATGCCCCTGGGCTGCCCCCAGGCTCCACACCACCTGCTCCCCTCATCCCCCCTCTACTCCTTCCTTCATTGGAAACTGGTATTTCAGCTTCTAAATGTCAGTTCCAGCCGGGAGAGGCAAGCACTCACCCAGGTCTTCCTCAAAGGTAAATTTACAGAGCAATTAAATCGTCACTTGCAGAGTCAGGAAGAGGCCCTGGCTGGGCAAGACCCGCCCAGCCCACCTGGCCCTGCCTGTGTCTCCGGGGTCCACCTAGAGTGGACACCTGACCTTGCTCTGCGGGAGCCACTGCGGGGCCTTGGAAGTAGCTCTCCGCTCTGCAGCGGGGCCTGCAGCACCCCTGGCTTATCCGGAGCTGGAGATGAAGGGTTTGCTCAACATCTCTTCGTCCGACTGTGCTATGGGAAAATACAGGCCCTGCCTTAGGGTGTAAGAGGGTGAGGGGGCCCAGCTGGGCAGGCCTGATGCTGCTCCTGGGGGGCTTCAGCTGCCCAGCAGGGGCCAGTGGGAGTGAAAACTAGGGTGAAGCATGAAAGACGTTGAGCTTCCAAAGGGCTGTGGGCAAACCACACCCTCTCAGATCCCGCAAGGCCCTTAGGGGATCCCAGGGTCCCATCCCTGCTATCCTGAGGAGCAGCAGGTCCAGGGAGGGCCAAGTCTGCCCAATGCCACCCAGCAAGCAGGGCCACTCAGATGGCCCCCTCTTCCTGACACACTCCGTTCCTCTTGGCCTGGTTTCCGTGGGCTACGCATATGGGTTGCCCGAGTTTCAGCACCAGCTATGGCCTGGAACTTATTTGAGGGCAGCAAATAAGGCCAGAGCCAAGACGCCGCTGGCAGGAGTCTAAATCTGGACCACTCATCCCACCTGGCAGCCCTGGGGCCAAGGCGCTCACTGCACATGGGCCGCGTGTGGCCCGGGAAGGCAGGCTTCTGCCCGGCCTGCCAGCTCCCTTGAACAGAGACCACCCCAGAAGACCTCCTGGGATCTGCCCGACTCTCAGGTCACTGGGGTCTCCAGGGACTTTAGCTACAGAAAGGACATGCCCAACACAGCCAGGTCTCTTGCCTTGGCTCCAGTCCAGCAGAGGAGATGGGCAGCCCATTTGGTGGCTCCTTAACATATGAAAAGACACCCAATGTGACTTTAAACAGAAAGATGCCAAGCAAACCTACGAGAGGACTCTTCCACCTGACTGGCACAGATCAGACCGTCTGATCCCACCCTGTGCTGGCGAGGCAGCAGAGAACCAGCCGTTCAGTCGGCACAACTGCACAGAGAAGTTTAGTGACAGCTGACGACACTGAAAATATACACCCACTTAGACCCCACAGTTCCACCCCCAGGAATGCGTCCTTCAGTGATATTCACAAGCGCGTGACATGATGTGGCAACAAGGATACTCTGCAATACTGCGTGTCATAGCAGAGGCTGCCAACAACACAAGCGTCCACCAGAAGTCAGAGAAAAGCCGCACGCCGAAATGCCATGCAGCCACTAGGAAGCCCCACCGTGCTCCTCCTGGCACCGGCTCCAAGAATGACTGTCAAGGTCAAAGCAGGGACAAAGAGCACTTATCCTCCTCCTGCTTCCGTGTGGGAAAAGATCACAAGATCACAGCTCCAGATGTGTATATGCACGGACTGTCTTGGGAAGAAGACACAAGATATTGGGAGGACTGGGAATGGGTGGCTGGGGACGGGGCGGAGAATTTACTGTATACCTTTTGAACCCCTTGAATGTTGCACTGTGCACATTTTTATTCAAAAATAAAAAAGATGTACAAGTAAAAGCCCCCCAAGGAAGCTGAACTCTGGGTACCTCTGGCACCTGCAAAGGTGGGCTCACAGGAGGTGCTGGGGCCAGGAGCCTCCCCACTCACTCCCTGTTGGGGGTTACGGCAGATGGGGTTTTATGTGTGAGTGGAGGGGGTCCCTGGCTAGCGTGCTCACTGACTGCGCTGCCGAGGCTCCCCAGCTCTGAAGTGTCTGTGTGCAGTGAGGGAGGAGGGTGGGAAGGTGGGGGTGGGATGCCCAGCCGCTGCCTCCCTCCCCTGGCAGAATTTGCAAGCTTCAGGACTTAAGCAAATGACTTCCTTGTGGTTTCCAACAATAACGACCTTGCAGGTGCACAGACTCCTGGGGTGGGGAGAACACATGTCTCTGGGGTGTCCCTTCTGCCCTCAGGCCTGACCCACCCTGCCACCCAGCTTGTGGCCAGGAGCCCGCCCCAGCCTCTTCTGCGACAAGGAAGGATGACTTGGTGTCTGTGACCTCACTAAAGACTCACAAACAACCCTGGGAGATGGGTTCTATGGCAGCCTCGCTTATGGTGAAGAAACCGAGGCACAGAGAGGCAAAGAGGCTGGTCCAGCATTGCACAGCTATGAAGGGGCAGGGCTAGGGTTCAAAGCCTCATCAGCTCCACCCCAGCAGCTGTGCTAGGGACATCTGCACCTCCTCCTCAAGCCATGGCAAGCCTGAGGCAGGAAGGAACAGCTGGCTCCCCTCTGCTCACCTAAAGACTTCTAGAGCCCTGGAATGCCCCCAGCCCCAATCAGTGATCTGAGAGAAGAGCCCTCTAGGGACCCAAGAAGGCTGGAGGCAAAGCTGAAAAAGCTGCTGCCGGCTGACCCAAACTCCTAGCACAGACGCCCACACCAGGGTTCTGCATCCTGCAGAACTTGTGACTGTCTTGTACAGATGGGGAAACTGAGGCCCAGAGAGGAGCAGGTAACCAGTGCCAGCTCCACCACCTACTATGTGACCTCGGGCAAGTGGTTTAACCTCTGGGTGCCTCCGTTTCCTGCTGTATAAAATGGGGATGACAACAGTCCTTCCCTTATGGAGTTGTTTTGGGGAAGAAATGAGATAATAGATGAAAAATGCTGAGACTAGAACCTGGCACATAGTAAGTGCTCAGTGAACATCAGCTTTTATTATTAATACTATCAATGCCCAGAGGATCCAGGGGAGCCCAGCAATATCCCTCCCCAACTTTTCCCATCACACCCCAACACACATCCACCCTCTGTGGACCTACACACCACGCCAAGCCCACAGCCTTCCCCATCAGTTCACACAGGTGTGCGCTGGCCAGGGCACCCCAAGGATCTCATCTAACCAAATAACAGGTGGGGAAGGCTGGGGCTCCCTCCCTCCCAGTCAGTTCCTCCTCCGCTGGACCAATGAAGACATGATATCAGAATGAAGACAGACCTGGCTAGGGTCGTACAGAAGCAGTATTTGTGTGATTCCAGGGACAGGCCAAGGGCTGCGTCTCCAGTTTCCCTCAGGAATCAGGATTCCCAAGCTGGAGGCTATAGCAGCACAAAAGAGGCAGTGGGACCGCAGACCTGCCTGCGCCGGCCCTCGCCCCCAGCCCACCCCAGGGTCAGAGGCAGCCCATGCTGCCCAGCTCTCCTGCAGCAAAGCACAACCTCCCTGCCAAGTCACTAATGGGGGATATTAAATAATATTTATCTCCCCAGTTCCTCCCACAGCTCAACTAAATATAGCAACTAATTTTTTTGAAAAAGGATTTCTGCTCCAGAAAGATAATATTTATATAAGAGGTGGTTTTCATAAACCAATACAAAACCCAAAAGTCCTTTTCTGACACTTCTTCCTAATTTTCAAGCTAGCCCTGAGTAGTAGGATCCCAGGGCTAGAATACCTTCCCCTCTGGCTGGCTGGGAACCCCAAAAGGGCAAGGCTCCAAGTCCCCAAAGGATGCAGACCCAGGCTGCCCTCTGTAGATGGTGAGGGTATTTCTCCTGGGATCCCTCACACTCTGCCCGATGCTGCGGGCATGAGCAAGGGGGTGGCAGGTCCTGCCTGGAAGGGATGTGGGGAGGGCACCTCTGTATTTTCCACCCTCATGGGACCTCCAAGGTGCCAGGCCACATCTGGACAGTACCCGGTGGCACTCAATGTGCCTTTTGGCAAGAGCAAGAATCCCACACTCCTTTGAAGGAGGTGAGGATGAAATGATAGTGAAGCCTCCCTCCCTCCCCAGAGATGGGAAAGGCCTCCCTGGCAGTTCCCTGAGGCCTTGACTCCGCCACCCCAGGAAGGTGGGTCTCCCGCCTCAGCAGTTCAAAGCCCCCACCGACTCCGCCAGCCACATCCGCTTCGGGTTGCAGAAAGAGGAAGACCTGGGGTGGGGGTGGGGGCCCCAAGGCTGCTAGCTGATAAGCGGCACCTTCCTGGGCGTTTTCTGGAGCCCTCAGGGGAGACCCTGGGGCCAGCTGGGAGGCCGAGCCTGAGTCTCCGGCCGTCCCTCGCCCGCCGGTGTCTGCGCTGCACCTGCAGGATGCCAGCGGGAGCGGCGCGGCGTTGGGGTGGAATACGGTCCAGGATGGGGTGGAATAACGCTTCCAGGGTGGACGGGGCCGGAGTGGAGGTGGGAAGTCCGGGAGGACCGCGCAGAGGGTGCCAGGCGTCCGGTCTCCCCAGCTGGAACCCGCTCCCAGCCCCCAGCCCCCAGCCCCGGCGCCGGCGAAGGTGGCCGCGCAGCCCCGCCGGGTGCCCCAGGAGCATCCGAAGAGGTTTCCGGAGCCCTCGCTTCCTGCCCGCCCAGAGCCGGGTGGGGAGGCAGGAGGGGAAACTGAGACTGCGGCGCGCGCGGCCCCCGCTCCCCGGCCCGGCCCGGCCCGCGCGCTCACCGTTGGGGCCGTAGCGCTCCCGCGCGCCGGTCACCTGCGCCGGGCTCAGGCCGCCCTCGGCTGTCACCGAGAAGTGGCGCAGCACGTCGGCGGCCGGGAGCAGATGCGCCGCCTCCATGCCGCCCGCCCGGCCGTCTGCGCCGTCCGCACCGTCGAGGCCGCCTCTCCGCCGGGGGGCTACAAAGCGGGGCGCGGGGGACTCGGGCCCGGGCGGGCGCCGCGCGAGGCCATGTCCGTGCTGGGACCTTACCCGACGGCAGTGGCGGCGGCGGCCCCGGCCCGCGCCAGGATGCTGCGCCCGGGACTCCCTCCCCGGGGCGGGGCGGCGCGGGGCCCGCCCCCCATCACACCCCTTCCGGCCGCCCTCCGCGCCCCGGGGCGCACCGCCTGGGTCCCCCGCCCATTCTGCAGAGGGGAAACTGAGACCGCCCGCGGGGCGCGTGCTGGGCCTGTCGGGAGCCGGGGGCGCGTGGCCCGGGGGTCCTCGGTCCCGGTCCGCGGAGCTGCTAGGGGTGGGATCTGGCCGAGAGCTGGGGCGGTCTGCGGAGCACCCGGCTCTGGGCTGCGCGTCGCCTCCTCTGGGCTCTCCTGGGCCCGGGGCGTCCTGCTTCCCAGCTCGAATTCTGCGAAGTGACTCCAGAGGGAACCCGAAAGCCTCTGAATAAGCGGGTCTTCTCTAGAGGAAAGTGCTGGATGTTCTCCTTATTTGGTGTTTCTGCTTTCTTTATTCTTTTCCAATGCCCACCGGCGAGGGGTTATTCCTCACATAACCAGAACCTTTAACAAAGAGCCGGTGCATAAGAAAGTTCAGAAAACCAGGCTCGTTACCCTAGACTCACACCGTCACCCCAGCAGGAAATGTAACCAGGGAGCAAAGGTGGGGCTCCCCAGAGGGGCCCGAGAGGGTGGGGTGGGGGGGTCTCTGCCCAGGGCTCCCAGGGGACTGACCCTGGCCCAGGGAGGGGAGAGATGGATGAGCCTCCGCCTCAGCGCTCCCGAGCTCCACCCGCCCCAGGAGGGCCAGGAGAAGTGGCAGCGGGTCAGAGGAGGAAGTCGCAGGAAGGCAGAAACCACTCGCCCCGCCAAAAGGAGGAGCTAAGAGAACAGCCTGATTGCCGCTCCCTCCAGCTTGAGAGACCCAGACAGCCTCACCCCAGCCCTTATCTGCCTCCCACCACGAGCTGGGCTCTGCCTTCTAGAGCCTCAGTCTCTGCCATCCACCAAGGCTGCACAGGGTCAGAGATGCCAGGATTGAGCCCGCACAGCTGGCTGTTCAAACCCCAAACCCCTTCTGTGCCTCTGCAGCCAGGAAGCTTTCCCAGATAGCTGCAGCTGCGCCCTGCCCCAACAACACAGCCCCTCACCCGCTCCTGAGAGCCTCAACTTCCAGCCTGGTCTGGAGCTGCTGACCCCTATCCAGATCATGCACACCCCCAGATTCTGTGCTCTTCCTCCTGGGACAGGACTGGGCCCCTCCTCCTCTCCGCCTCTCGGTGCCTCCCTGAGCAAAGACACTCCCTGAGGACTGGCTGGACCGAAAGGTGCTTTGGGGCTTTTGATGGGTGATCCAGATGGATTCCCTGATATCAGCTGCGTCTCAGCCTGGTGCTGTGGAGCTAGAGGAATGCTGGTTTTCTGGTTGTGGCTCCTCCGGCCTGGTATTTTATTTATTGATTTTATTATTATTATTATTATTATTATTATTTTCCTTTTTTTTTTTTTTAATTTCTTTGAGTCGTAGTGTCACTCTGTCGCCCAGGCGGAGTGCAGTGGCGAGGCGACATCTCAACTCACTGCAACCTCCACCTCTCAGGTCCAAGAGATTCTCCTGCCTTAGCATCCCGAGTAGCTGGGATTACAGGCGCCCGCCACCACATCCAGCTATTTTTTGTATTTTTTTTTTTTTTTTGTAGAGACAGGGTTTCGCCATGTTGGCCAGGCTGGTCTTGAACTCCTGACCTCAGGTGATCCACCCACCTCAGCCTCCCAAAGTGCTGGTATTACAGGCATGAGCCACCGTGCCCAGCCCCATTATTATTTTTTTGAGACAGGATCTGGCTCTGTCATCTAGGCTGGAGTGCAGTGGCATGATCGCGGCTCACTGCAACCTCTGCCTCCCGGGCTCAGGCGATCCTCCCACCTCAGCCTCCCAAGTAGCTGGGATTATAGGCGTGAGCCACCACGCCCAGGTTTTTTTTTTTTTTTTTTTTTTTTTTTTTTTTTTTTTTTTTTTGTAGAGACAGGGTTTCCCAATGTTGCTCAGGCTGGTCTGAAACTCCTGGACTCAAGCGATCGACCCACTTCGGCCTCCCAAAATGTTGGGATTACAGGTATAAGCCACTGCATCCCGCTCAGCCTGACATTTTATATCTCAAGTCTGATATCCCCAGATATTTCCACCCTATTCCTTTCTCCCCCACTGCTATAGTCCACAAAATCCCAACTGTATCCCTAAGTTGCCAGGAAAAATGTTAGCCAGGACTTGACTGGGGACAGAGCCTCACAGCTCCCCGCTAGAGCCCTATTTCCCAGAGATCGGGAGCCCTAGGCGTTCAAGCCGCTGGGAAACCCCTGCTCCACCCTACACACACATCTTGAGGTCTGACTTCTTCTCTGCTGGCCCTAGGGACCTTAACCCCAGCCTCTCCCGCTCCACCGCACCCTCAGCTGTGAGTTGGTATTTGCTAGAAGGTAGGGCCAGAAGGCCTGACTGTTTGCTCTGGCAGCCAGGCCTATGTTCCATTTCTCCAGCCCACCCCACCCTACCTTCAAACCGCCATGGCAGGACAAACAGTTGCCAGCAACCGGGGCCCTCACCTGGCAGGCTCACACACCTGTCAGCATGCCCGCCTGCTCGGCTGCCCCTGTCACAACTTCTGGGTGCCCCCCCAGCTCCCACAGAATCACATGCAGTCATTTCACACTCCAGCTGCCTGCCCCGGGCTCACGTCCCTCCCCGCCATGCTCTCTTTTTGTACCTGGACAGACACACAGCTGGTGGCCAGGGCGACATGGTCACAGGCAGGCTGTCCAAAGGGCAGGTCCACATTCTCCACCTCCCAGCTGCCAGGAACCAAGAACTCCATGCCTGGCACCTAGACACGGCTTTTGCCACCTCCTCCACCAGACAGAAGGTGGCAGAACATACCACCTATCTAGCAGAAGTATATCTACCCGCCTCACCTGAGGGGGCCCGGGTGGGCATGAGGAAACAGAGGTCTTCCCTGGAATTATTATTTATTTATTTATTATTTTTATTTTTTATTTTTTTTTGAGACTGAGTCTTGCTCTGTCGCCCAGGCTGGAGTGCAGTGGCACAATCTTGGTTCACTGCAACCTCTGCCTTCGGGGTTCAAGTGATTCTCCTGCCTCAGCCTCCCAAGTAGTTGGGATTACAGGCACCTGCCACCATGCCCAGCTAATTTTTGTATTTTTAGTAGAGACGGGGTTTCACCATGTTGGCCAGGCTGGTCTCACTAATTTTTGTATTTTTAGTACAGATGGGGTTTCACCGTGTTGGCCAGGCATGGTGAAGATAAGGCAACCCACAGTTCCTTTTATTTTCAGTCCTTCTCTACTCATCCAGCTGCCTCAGCCTCCCAAAGTGCTGGGATTACAGGTGTAAGCCACCACACCCAGCTTTTCTGGAAATATTCAGACACATGGAGAAGAGGGTGCTGCCCGCAGAAAACAACAGCCTGAGTTGAAGGTGAGAAATCTCAGCCATATGTCAGGGATAGTGATTTGATCCCTTAGTGTGGCTGGATCGTAAGGAGCAGGAGTGCAAGGACCAGGAGGGCAGATTAGAGAGACAGGGCTAGGACACTGAGAACCTCGATTGTCTATGTTATGTCCTGGGTTTTGTACTGAAGGGTTTTAAGCAATGGAGAGATGGGGCCAGGTTTGCCTGCTAGAAAAGTCCCCCATAGAAGCTGGTATGGAGAAGAGATTAAAAGGGAGAGCCATGGCTGAAAGGACCATGGAGCGGTAGTCAGGGTCATGCCCCAGCACCCTGATTTCCTTCAGGCCTCCCCAGGGGAGGGGCCTCTAAGCTGTGTAGGGAAATATCTGTGATTAGAGCCACTGACTTGAACATTCACCATATGCTAAGCTTGTTTCACAAGTTACTCCCATTTAACCCTCACAGTAACCCTGGAGGAGGATTTTATTATCCCCATTCAGAGCTGGCTTCATGGGCATGCAACCTGCGCAGGTCACCAGTTGTCAGAAGGACCGTCTGCTTGATTTTTGTTGTGGCTGTTTTTAGAGATGGGGGTCTCGCTATGTTGCCCAGGCTGGATTCCAACTCCTGGACTCAAGTGCTCCTCTTGCCTCTGCCTCCTGAGTGGCTGGGACCATGGGAACGCACCACCATGCCCGGCCTCCCACTTGGTTTAATGCTCTCCAACCGCCATCTTGAAATTCTTTTTTTTTTTTTTTTTTTGAGACAGAGTCTCGCTCTGTCACCCAGGCTGGAGTGCAGTGGCCGTGATCTCGGCTCACTGCAAGCTCCGCCTCCTGGGTTCAAGCGATTCTCCTCCCTCAGCCTCCCGAGTAGCTAGGATTACAGGTGCCCGCCACCACACCGGGCTAATTTTTGTATTTTTAGTAGAGACGGGGTTTCTCCATGTCGGTGAGCCTGGTTTCAAACCCCCAACCTCAGGTGATCTGCCCGCCTCGGCCTCCCAAAGTGCTGGGATTACAGGAGTGAGCCACCGTGCCTGGCCCTTTGAAATTCTTAATATAGTAATTTTCTCTTTGAACTTGTGCTTTGTAAGTGAAGCCCGTTGGGAAAACGGGGCATGCTGTGAGCCAAAGAGGCCCGTTTAATACGCCATCTCTCTCCCGTAAAGTGCTCACTGTGCTCGTGAGCACACAATTCTGGTGGACTCATGGTGGGTGGGAGTTGAGTGGACTCGAATCAAGTCTAGGGTGAATGTGTTATGTCTGCGACTGAGTAAGTGGGGTGCTGACAGCCGAGAGGCCCTGCTTTCCATTTGAACCCGAATTTGCTTCATGCAGAAAGAAGACAGTAGTGTTCTGAGAAACACGAAAGGTCGGGGTCCCTATCATATCATTTCTTACTCACATTACTTCCCTGCGTTCAACAACCACTCGCATTCAACATGATGACACAGAAGGAAAGGAAAAGATAAGGCAACCCACAGTTCCTTTTCTTTTCAGCCCTTCTTTACTCATCAGTAAAGCAAAGGCAGAGGGTGTTGGAGGAGTGTATTCATATTGACAAGTGAAATGGAAACAGCCGAGTCCATGTTGTACGGCATTTTCCTGTTCTGGTCAGAACAAAATGTATGTGCATGTACAAGCTACACGCCAAGACTTGGTCATTTTAGTGATTACACATATGAGTTAAATGCTCTTCATTTTGCATTTAAAACGGGCATTGCACAAAGTAAAGATAAATGAAAAAATTTCATGCAAATTATTAGAATTTTTATTTCTTCTTTTCTTAGAAAATGAATTTGTAGGCTGGGTGCCGTGACTCTCGCCTGTAATCCCAGAACTTTGGGAGGCCAAGGCAGGTGGATCACCTCAGGTCAGGAGTTCGAGACCAGCCTGGCCAACATGGTGAAACCCCGTCTCTACCAAAAATATACAAAATTAGCCTGGTGTGGTGGCGCATGCCTGTAGTCCCAGCTACTCGGGAGGCTGAGGCAGGAGAATTGCGAATTGCTTGAACCCGGGAGGTGGAGGTCGCAATAAGCCGAGATCATGCCACTGCACTCCAGCCTGGGCGACAAAGTGAGACTCTGTCTCAAAAAAAAAGAAAAAGAAAATTAAAGTGTAGATTTTTCAAAAGCACCATGACAAGTTGAGCGAGACTGCACGAGAAAGGAAAAGTTTTATATTTTAGTGCCTTTAATGAGACTCTTTCCCCGGTTTTTCATTTTATTTTATTTTTTAAATTCTTTTGAGATGGGGTCTCACTCTGTTGCCCAGCAGGAATGCAGTGGTGCAATCATGGTTCACTGCAACTTCCAAATGCTGGGCTCAAGCCATCCTCTCGCTTCAGCCTCCACAGTAGCTGGGCCTGTAGGTGCGCACCACCGTGCCTGGCTAATTATTTTTTAAACTTTTTTGTAGAGGCAGGGTCTCACTTTGTTGCCTAGGCCAGTCTCAAACTCGTGGGCTCCCAGGATCCTCCCACCTCAGCCTCTCAAAGAAAGTGCTGGGATTACAGACAGGAGCCACTGCACCTGGCCCCTCTGTTTTTTAAACTAAGGGTCCTCATTTTCATTTTGCACTGGGCTCCGCAAATTATGTAGCCAGTCCTCTTTCCATTTTACAGATAAAAGCCTGAGAGGCTCACAGAGCCTCGGGGACTTGCCCAGGGGCGTTCAGCTGGGATTAAAACCTGATCTGACTCCAAAGCACAGGCTCCTAAGCAATCCCCAGCCTGCTTGTCGGGGTCTGTCCCAAAACACTAGGTCAGTGCAGCTTTCGCTGGGCAGAGAAGGATGTCCTACACGCTCCATCCCCTTGAGCCTGCCTTTCTGTCACTGCCTGAACTCAGGCCCCTCTTCTCTCTCAAGCTATACCTTTCCAATAGCCCGCTTCCTGGCCTTCCTGTCTCCAGACTTACTTCTGGTACAGCAAGATTGCTTCACCGAGATGGTGCTTTCATGACTTCATTCCTCTCCTCAAGAACCTCCCTTAGCTCCCTAGTACTGGCAGGATCAAGTCTAGACTCTTCAGCCCAGCAGAGCCCTTTAGCCACAGGCTCCTAGCCAAGGCAAACCTGTCTCTTCCAGATCCACTGGCCTTGCACATCCTAGCGTCACCCGTTGGTTCATGCAGTTCCTCTGGCCTAGATCGCTCTTCCGGCTCCTCTCCCTAAAATTTGGAAACTCATTTCATTGGCTTCTCCAACCCTGTGTATTCACTCTCTTCCCTGCACGCTTGGTTGACTCTGAATGAGACCCCTGTGGAGGCCCCCAGAGATGAAGGCCTAAATCCTGCTTGTACACAAGGGGAAACTGAGGCCCAGGGAAAGGAAAGGACTCAAGCAGGGACATGGAGCCAGGGAGGCTGAGGCAGAGCTTCGGCGGGAACCCCCGGCCCAGGCATGTGCTGCTCTTTGTGAGTTGATGGCTTTCCTCAACACACAAATGAGTCTGGGTCCTCTGGGTCCTTTGACTGCTGGGTCCTCTGCTGGGCTAGGACCAGGACAGTCTCCTCAAAAGCCAGGGACTGACCTTAGGGCAGCCTGGCCTCAGGGGGTCTAACCCTGCCCTGAGGAAGGGTCTTGCTCCAGAAAAATGAAGAGTTTGAGCCACTGTTCAGGAGATAGTTCCAGGCTGGAGTTTGGGAGGGCTGGGGGGCAGCGGGGAGGGGCAGGAGGCCTGGGCTCTGCCCCCTTGTTATCCTAGCTTAATTCATTCAAAAATATTTCTTGGTTGGGAGCGGTAGCTCACGCCTGTAATCCCAGCACTTCGGGAGGCCGAGGCACGCGGATCACCTGAGGTCAGGAGTTTGAGGCCATCCTGGCCAACATGGCGAAACCCCGTCTCTACTAAAAATACAAAAATTAGTCGGGCTTGGTGGCGGGCGCCTGTAATCTCAGCTACTTGGGAGGCTGAGGCAGGAGAATCGCTGGAACCTGGGAGGAGGAGGTTGCAGTGAGCCAAGATCACCCTATTGCACTCTAGCCTGGGTGACAAGAGCAAAACTCCATCTCAAAAAAAAAAAAAAACAAAATTATCAGTTGGGTGTGGTGGCCCGCACCTGTAATTCCAGCACTTTGGGAGGCCAAGGTGGGAAGATCGCTTGAGGCCAGGAGTTTCAGACCACGCTGGGCAACATAGGAGACCCCCATCTCTACAAAACAATTTTAAAAATTAGCCGGGTATGGTAGCCTGTGGTCTCAGCTACTCAGGAGGCTGAGGTGGGAGGACTGCTTGAGCCCAGGAGGTCAAGGCTGTGAACCATGATTGTGCCAGTGCACTCCACCCTGGGTGACAGAGCAAGACCCCATCTCTAAAAAAAAAAAGAGAAAAGAAAAAAGAAAAATTTCAAGGACCCAGCATGCCCCAGGCATGGCACCATGTTCTTGGAGACATGGTCCTTGTTCTCCCCATGGCCACACCTGAGAAAGAAGCAAGCCGTTCATCCCAGAAAACCACACGCAGCAACAGATCGCAGTGTGGTCAGAGCTGCCTTGAGAACATGACAGGCGGTGGAGGGCGGATGTCACCCAGTCAGGGAGATCGGGAGGCTTTCTGGAGGAAGGGATACTTCTGAAATCTGAAGGCACAGGGGAGGGAACGGTGTCGCAGGCTGAGGGAACAGACTCTGCAAGCTTGACCTGGCTGTGATGTCTTGGAGGTGCCTGCCCGCCTCTGGGCCTGAGCCCCCTGACCGTCATGTCAGTGGTGAAGGGGAAGTGGCGGGGGCAGCGTCTTCCCGCAGAGAGAACAGAAAACAGTGGCGGGGTTGCCCTGCTGCTGCCCCACTTTGGTTTGTAAATTGGTTTGAGTCAAAATGCAAACAGCCTTGCAGGCTTGGGAACCTCACCTTCCTCTTCTTCGGGGTCACCTGGGCCTGGTGGACAGGTGTCCCAGGTGTTCTAAAGACCTGCTGCTGAGCAGCGAGTCACCTGTTTGTTCGTCTTATCTGATGTCATCTGAGCATCGGGTCTGCTGTTTTAAGCCCCCACCCCAGCTCCCTATTTGACAGCCTTCCCTCAGGGGAGGGGCAGGGGAGGACCTTGGCTCCCAGCTGTTCAGGGTGGGCGACACCCCCCTATTATCTTGCCCGGACCCCAAGTTCTTTTGTTGTCGTCTTTTGGGCTTCGGGACCCCTGTGTGAGTCTCTGATGCACCCCATCCATCCTCCTGGGCCTAGACCCCCCTGGCCTGGAGCCACCTCACACCTGGCTCCTCCAGCCTCTCTCTGTGCTCTATGATGGGTCCTCCTAGGAGCCTCGAGACTCCCACCCTCCCACCTCATCAGCTCTGCCCTCTCAGCCACCATCCAGCCCTCAAGACTTTCCCTTCAGGTGCCGACCCCACCCTCACCACTTCCTGCCTCCCATGAGACCCACATTGAGCCATATCCAGCCCCTGCACACAGTAGGGGGGCCACACTGAGACACATCCAGCTCCTGCACACAGTAGGTAGGGGGCCACACTGAGCCACATCCAGCTCCTGCACACAGTAGGGGGTCCACACTGACACACATCCAGCCCCAGCACACAGTAGGGGGTCCACACTGAGACATATCCAGCCCCAGCACACAGTAGGTAGGGGGCCACACTGAGCCACATCCAGCTCCTGCACACAGTAGGGGGTCCACACTGAGACACATCCAGCTCCTGCACACAGTAGGTAGGGGGCCACACTGAGCCACATCCAGCTCCTGCACACAGTAGGGGGTCCACACTGACACACATCCAGCCCCTGCACCAGTAGGGGGTCCACAGTGAGACACATCCCGCTCTTGCACATAGTAGGTAGGGGGCACACTGAGACACATCCAGCCCCTGCACACAGTAGGGGCCACACTGAGACACATCCAGACCCTGCACACAGTAGGGGCCACACTGAGACACATCCAGACCCTGCACACAGTAGCGGCCACGCTGAGCCACATCCAGCCCCTGCACACAGTAGTGGGGGCCACACTGAGCCACATTCAGCTCCTGCACACAGTAGGAAGTTTCTAGCTCTGGGTCTTTGCCCATGCCCTTCTGTCTGCTCGTAACACCTATCTCTCAGCTGGCTAATTCCTACCCATCCTAAAGGACTGTAAGCCCCTCAATCCCTGAGGCCAATAGGGCTCCCTCCCACTCCCTCCTGGTCGACCCGCCGAGTACCCTGCACCTGGTCCTCTGGGTGTTCACTGTCCGCCCTGCTCCCCTCTCTGGCAGCCACCTCACCCAACTCGATGCTGCTCCCGGGAGGTGTCAGGGGTGTTTGTTGAATGACTAAGTTAGGTGGGAACACTCTGGAGCCTCTTTCTGGGAGTGGAGCACACTCTGGTCTTCTGGGGCCCAGGGAAGTGGGGATGTGTGGTCAGCAGGACCGAGCAGGCACCCAGGGCCCCCAACCAGCCCAGGACACTTGGACTGTTGCATTTTGGCCCAAGGGGACCCGCCTCCTGCCCTCTTGCCTCCATCTCTACAGGAACACCCTGCACAGAGCGGGGCAGGGGATCCGGGGCCAGGCAGCTCACTCCTGCGCTCCTTGAGGCAACTTCCTGTCCTCTCCCCGTTATCTCCCCAACCAGACCGAGGAGAGGAAGCTGTCCTCTCCCTCCCAGCGGCAGACGGAGACACCCCTGGACCTCAGGAAGAGGGGGCCAGCCGTGTGAGGTTGGGCCTGCTCCTTCGGGGCCTGCCTTCTCCCTCTGCTGCTCCCACCCCTCCCCAGGCAGCCCTGCTGCTACCCTCCTGCTCACGTGCCTTCAGTGACTCCCTCTGTCACCTAGTTCAGATCAATTCCGCAGCTTGGCCTGAAGTCCATCTCGCCAGCCTCATCTCACGCTCCTGCTCCCACATCCACTCCCAGCACCTTAGAGTTCCTCCCATTGAACTGTTTTGCTCTATACTGCTCCCAGCCCTTTTCCATGTCTGTTGTTACCCATCCTGGGAAACTTCTTCTTCTCATCTGTACATGTCTAAACCCTCAGCATTCTTCAAAGCCCGGCTTCAATGCTGCCTTCTCCAAGAAGTCCCCCTGGATCTCTCAGGAGCCAGTGGCCTGTGCCTCCTGAGCAGCCATCAGCTTGTGTGCTCCTAATTGTCATCCACAGCACCCACACTGTGTGTCTGTCCAGAATAGGCGCTGTATCCGAGTCATCATGAGGTCTCTACAGTCCAGCCCACTGCACGAAGGTCATTGTAAAGTTGCTCTCTAGGGTGGGGATGTCCTGGGGGCAGAAGCCGTGGTGTCTGTGGCACACACCGCTCCATCTCAGTTCGTGGCACCCAGTCTGGCATTTACTGGACTCTCAAAGACATTGATTGGTTAAATGAAGGCGGTTCTAGCCAATGCAATAAGACAAGAAAAAGAAGCAGGGTGCAAATACTAGAAAGTGAAAGAAGGGATGAGCATACCCACATCCATAAGTGTGCGCCATCCTCCTCATGAGATACATCAGGCGGCACCCCATTGTATGGGCAGGGGTTTTTGTGTGTGTGTGTGTGTTTTTGTTGTTTTGTTTTGTTTTTGAGACGGAGTTTTGCTCTGTTGCCTGGGCTGGAGTGCAGTGGTGCAATCTCGGCTCACTGCAACCTCTGCTTCCTAGGTTCAAGCAATTCTCCTGCTTCAACCTCCTGAATAGCTGGGATTACAGACACCCACCACCATGCCTGGCTAATTTTTTTTTTTTTTTTTTTTTTTTTTGAGACAGAGTCTCACTCTGTCACCCAGGCTGGAGTGCAGTGGCACGATATCTGCTCACTGTAAGCTCTGCCTCCCAGGTTCACGCCATTCTCCTGCCTCAGCCTCCCAAGTAGCTGGGACTACAGGTGACTGCCACCACGCCTGACTAATTTTTTGTATTTTTAGTAGAGACGGGGTTTCACCGTGCTAGCCAGGATGGTCTCAATCTCCTGACCTTGTGATCCACCCGCCTCGGCCTCCCAAAGTTCTGGGATTACAGGCGTGAGCCACCGCGCCTGGCCAATTTTTGTATTTTTAGTAGAGATGGGGTTTCACCATGTTGGCCAGGCTGGTCTCGAACTCCTGACCTCAGGTGATCCACCCGCCTCAGCCTCCCAAAGTGCTGAGATGACAGCCGTGAGACAGCGTGCCTGGCCACG